>NC_000010.11:15010000-15161515 GCF_000001405.40 Homo sapiens
CTTTGAAAAATATTACAGCTAATATCAAAGTGGGCATACACTCTGCAATGTTATTTGTTATCCACTAGGTAGAAATTACTCCTAATATCACAGTGAGTGTACACCATGTGTGTACAGACTGTGAAATTATTCATAATACCCTAGGAAGATATTACTCCTAATATCACAGTGGGTGTATACCCTTTGATATTATTTGTAATCACCTAGGGAGATACGATTCCTAATATTACAGTGGGTGTACACTCCGTGATGTTATTTGTAATGTCCTAGGAAGATATTACTCCTAATATCAAAGTGGATGTACACCATGAGTGTACACTCTGTGATATAATTCATATTATCCCAGAGAGATATTTCTCCTAATATCACAGTGGGTGTACACTCTGTGATATTCTTTGTACTATCCTAGAGAGATATTGCTCCCAGTATCACAGTGGGTGTACACCCTGTGATATTATTCATAATCTCCTAGAGAGATATTACCTCTAATATCACAGTTTCTCTACACCCTGTGGTATTATTCATCATATCCCAGGGAGATATTATCCCTAACATCACAGTGCGTGTACACCATGGGTGGACACCCTGTGATGTTATTGGTAATATCCTAGGGGGATATTACACTTAATGTCACAGCGGGTGTTCACCATGTGTGCACGCACTGAGATGTTACTTGTAATATCCTGGGGAGAAATTACACCTAGCGTTACAGTGGGGGTACACCATGTGTTTCTATTCTGTGATGCTATTCGTAATATCTTAGAAAGTTATTAGTCCTAGTGCCACAGTGGGTGTATACCATGTGTGTCCACTCTGCGATGTTATTCGTATTATCCTAGGGAGATAGTTCTCATAACATCACTGTGGGTGTACCTCATGTATGTACTCCCTGTGGTCTTATTGGTTATGCCCTGGGTTGATATTACACCTAATATCACCATGGGTGCACACCATAGGTGTACATTCTGTGATGTTACTCATAATATCCTAGGGAGATATCACTCCTGATGTCATAGTGGGTTTACAGCCCTGTGATATTCTTGGTAGTATCCTTGGGACATATTACTCCTGTTATCACAGTGGGTATACACCCTGTGATAGTATTTGTAATATCCTAGGGAGATATCACTGTATACCCTGTGGTATTATTTGTGACATTTGAGGGAGCTATTTCTCCTAAAGTCAGAGTGGGTGTACACCCTGTAATATTCTTCCTAATATCACAGTGGCTGTACACCATGAGTGATATGTTTTTCTAATATCCAGTGAGGGAGAGGATGATACTGCTTCCAATATCACGGAAGGTGTACACCCCCTTGTGATATTGTTCCGAATATCCAGGGAAGGAGAGGATGACATTATTCCCAATATCACTGGGGGTGTACCACCTCCCACAGGGATATTGTTCTTAATATCTGTAGTGGAGAGAATGATGTTACTCCCAATATCCCAGGGGGTGTAAACCACCCCTGTTTGTAAACAGGGGTGTATCACCCCTGTGATATTGTTCCAAATGGCCTGTGAAAGAGTCAATATGACTCCCATTATCGCAGGGGGTGTTCAGCCCTGATGATATTGTTTTCTAACATCCAGGGAAGGAGAGTATGCTATTACTCCCAATATTGCAGGGGTTGTACACCTTTTTGTGTTATTGGGCCCAATATCCAGGAAAATAGAGGATGAGAGTACTCCCAATATGGAAATAATTGTACAGCACCCCTGTGATATTCTTCCTCATATCCAGAAAGGAAATGAATGATATTACTTCCAACAGTGTAGGAAATGTATACCCGTGCTGTGATATCTTTCCCAATATCCAGTTGGGGAGAGGATCATATTACTTCCAATATCGCAGGGTGTGTACACCCCCTCTGTGATCTCGTTGCTAACATCCAGGTTTGGGGAGGATGACATTACTGCCAATATCGCAGGAGGAGTCCACCCTGCCCCTGTGTCCTTCTTACTCATTTCCCAGGTGGAGAGGATGATGTTCCTCCCAATATCGCAGGGGGTGTACACACCCCTGTGAAAATCTTCCTCATCTCCAGAGGAAGAGGGGATGATATTACTCCCAGTACCGCAGGGCGTTTACACAGCCCTGTGATACTCTTCCTAATATCCACAGGGAGAGAGGATGATATTACTCCCAATATCGCAGGGGGCGTACACAACCCTGTGAGATTGTTCCTAACATCCAGAGTGAAAGAGGATGATATGACTCGCAATATCGCAGGGTGTGTACACCCCTCCTGTCCTATTGTTCTGAATACCCTGGGAGGGAGAGGATAAGGTGACATTGAATATCGCAGGGAATGTGTACCCTCCCCCTCTGATACCCTTCCTAGTATCCAGGGGAAGAGAGGAAAATTTTACTCCCAATATCGCAGAGGCAGTACAACCCACCTGTGATGTTGTTCCCAATACGCAAGGTTGGACAGGATGATACTACTCCGAATATCGCAGGGGTGTTCACATCCCCCGTGACATTTTCCTTAATATCTAGGGGAGAGACAATTATATGACAGCAAAGGTCGCAGGGTCTGTACATCCCTTCCTGATATTGTTCCTAATATCCAAGGGGGAAGAGGATGATATCGAATATGAAAAGGAGTGTACAACCCCCACCCCTAAGATATTGTTCTTAATATTCTTGAGGGGAGACGATGATATAACTCCAAATATCGCAGGGGTTGTTCACACCCCCCGTGATATTCTTTCCAATATCCTGGGTGGGAGAAAATCATATTACTTCCAATATTGTAGGTAGTGTATTCCCCACCTGAAATACTGCACTGAATATCCAAAGAGGGAGAGGATGGTATTCATACCAATATCGAAGTGTGTGTGCACGCCCCTTGTGATACGGTTTTTAATATCCAGTGGGCGGGAGGATGATATTCATCCTAATGTCACAGAGGGTGTACACTACCCTTGTGATACTGTCCCTAAGTTCCAGATGGGAGAGGATGAGGTCACTCCCAATATCTCAGAAGTTGTACATCCCCCGTGATACTTACTGTTCATCATATCCAGGGAAGCACAGGATGACATTCCATTGAATTTCGCGACAGGCGTACACGCACAGTGTGATATTGTTCCTAATATCCAAGAAGGGAGGAGATGATATTACTCCCAATAAAGCAGTGGTTGTACATTACCCGTGTGTTATTGTCTCTAATATCTGGGGCCGGGGGAGCGGGGAAGAGGATAACATTCCCTCAAATTTAGCAGGTGGTTTGACGCCCCTCGTGGTGGTGTTTTACATATCCAGAGGGGAAGACAATAGTACTATTTTTGATAGTCCAATTCATCCGCTCCACCTTTCCAGAACTCTGAGGCTGGGAGGCGGCATGCAGTTTCCGTGTGATCCCCAATACCTTTGCTGTCTTCTGTAGCAAGTCAGCTACAAATGCAGGCCCGTTATCTGAGCCGATCCGGAAGGGCAGTCCCAATCTAGGAATCAGACCTCGAAGAAGCACACGGGTTTCTTCACGAGGTTTCCCAGTTCGTGTTGGATAAGCCTCCACCCACCCAGAGTAGGTACGCCCAAGAACAAGTAAATACTTGTTACCTCCACACTTTGGCATCTCTGTGAAGTCTACCTGGAGATCTTCAAAGGGGACTGCTCCATAAGCTTGTACACTGGGCTGAACGGCTGGACCTTGCCTCGCATTAGGCTGTAGGCAGGTGACACACCACTGCCTCACCGTTTTGGCAAGAGCTGACAAATGTGAGATGTAGAAATACCAGCCTAACAACTTTTCAAGTGACTCCTGACATAGATGGGTGCCAGTACAACTGCAGTTCCTCACAGCTGTGGCACAGCTACGCTCCCATCTGGTAACTGACTCCATCCTTCCTCCATCACTTGTCCTTCCCTCTACCTGGAGAAAGTCCTTTTATTCTTTAGAATAAGCAGGTCCAAGATCAGGTGCTTGAGGGAGCAGAGGGGCTATGACTGATGCCCGGAAGGGGACAGATGCTGCTTTTGCAGCCTCTGAGTCAGCGCGGGAATTCCCCAAGCCCACCAAGGTGGAAGCTCGCTGGTGTCCTCTGCAATGCATAACTGCCACCTTGTGGGGTTTCCATACTGCTTCTAATAAATGCAAGATTTCTGGTTGTTATTTTCTGCCTTTTCCCCCAGAGTTCAATAGGCCCTTTTCCTTCTATCACGCTCCATGCACTTGAAGGGTTAAAAAGACATACCGAGAATCAGTGTAAATGTTGACAGTCTCACCCTCACTGAGTTCTAAGGCCTGAATGAAAGCAATGAGTTCAGCTTTCTGGGTGAAGTGGCCTGGGGCATCGATCTGGCTTCAACAACAGTGTCCAGGGTTACCACTGCATACCCTGCACCTCTCTCTCCTTGCGGGATGATGAAGCTGCTCCCGTCCACCTATAGTTCCCAGTCTACTGATGCCCAAGGCTGGACCCGGAGGTCAGGTCTGCTAGAGTCAACCGAGTCCAACATTTCTACACAATCATGCTTGACAGGGCTCTCTGATAGTGGGAGCAAGGTTGCAGGGTGTAGGATGTTACAAACTTCAATGGTTATATGGGGATTTTCACTTTGGTACTTGGTGAGTCTCGCATTCGTTAGCCAATCATGTCCTTTAGTATTCATTAAAGTCACCACAGCATGGGGGGCCTTTTCTGTTCAGGTTCTACCCAAGAGTCAGCTTATTTGCTTCTTGTACTAGCAGGGCAGTTGCTGCCAAGGCCCTCAAACATGGGGGCCATCCTTTAGAGACCCCGTCTACTTGTTTAGAGACGTAGGCCACCAGCCTCGGCCAGGGCCCCACAGTTTGGGTTCAAAGTCCGGCTGCCATCTTTTCTCTCTCTGACACATACGATGTAAAAGGCTTTGTCAGATCAGGTAGCCCCAGGGCTGGGGCTGACATAAGTTTCTCCTTTAACTCGTGAAAGACTTGCTGTTGTTGGGATCCCCATTCAAAAGGTTCCCGGTCCCCGCCTCCTTTGTGACCTCAAACAAAGGCTTAGCTAATACTGCAAAGTTTGGGATCCACAGTCTACAAAACCTCACAGCTCCTAAGAATTCTCTCACCTGCCTTCTGCTCTTAGGCTCTGCTAGATGGCAAATGACCTGCTTTGTTTCTGATACGAGGCTGCATTCCCCCTGTCAGATAGTATATCCCAAGGAACATACCTGCTGTCAGCAGATCTGAGCTTTTTTCTTGGACACCTTATACCCACAGTCCTCCAGGTGTGGGCGTAGGGCAATCCGTTCCCTTGGTGCACCCGACTGCCGTGGGGTGTCCCAGCCAAAGCTCATCAACCTACCAGAGCAACACGCAGCCTAGGTCTCTGGTGGGAAACTTTTGGAGGTCTCGAGCCACTCACACATGTACCTTGGGGTGCCACCATGCATGGATCTGAGTGTTGCGGTCTGTTGTGAGATGATGAAGGATCTCAGGCATGTTCCTAAACATGTCTAGCTTATTGACATGAATCTAAGGAAAATAATATGTACGGGCAAATTATTTGAACTGTATTTCCTATAAATTGTTCAAGGTTAATTACTCAGGGCAAAACACCCAGTTAGTGAATTCACCCTCTCTTCTTTCTTGAAAAGCAGTTTTTGGCTATTTCAGTGCACTCTGGTATCCTGCCAGCATGTCAACAGGCACAAGGCTGACTGGTCAGGATCGCTGCCATCACTGACGGAAGCGAAAAATTACAGAGACTCGGCTCAGGGATGTCATTTAATGATGTTAATATTGTCCTTCAGTCCTTCAAGGGAAATTCAATTAATGTTCTTGTACACCTACTGTGTGTCGAGCTTTATTCTAAATGCGAGGAATAAAGCAGTAATCCACACAGACAAAAACAATCAAGAATCATCTACCCTCGGCCAGGCGCCATGGCTCATGCCTGTAATTCCAGCACTTTGGGAGGCGGAGGCCAGTGGATCACTTGAGGTCAGGAGTTCGAGACCAGCCTGACAAACATGCTGAAGCCCCATCTCTACTAAAAATACAAAAATTAGCCAGGTGTGGTGGCTCAGGCCTGTAATCTGAGCTACTTCAGAGGCTGAGGCAAGAGAATCACTTGAACCCAGGAGGCGGAGGTTGCAGTGAACCGAGACCATGCCACTGCTGCACTCCAGCCTGGGTGACAGAGCAAGACAGTCTCAAAAATAAAATAAAATAAAATAAAAAATCAAGAATCATCTTTAAGGCATATACATGACATGCAACAGAGGAGCATGTACTGCAAAAAATCCACTCCCATATCTCCTTGTTCAAATTTATTTTCAATGCTGGTCACAATCGCTAAATTTATTTCATGACCCAAAGTTTGGGAAAAATACTTTGTCTATGGGGCATTTCACTGAAGGCTCTTGTAAGCCATTTGGGCTTCTGTCAATTTTCTCCCAGGAGGATGTGACTGAACTAAGATGATATATTCCTTCAGAGGGCCCGCGAACCTCTGCTGCAGACACGTCTTGATAGGGTGCTTCCATCTGTCCCTGTTTGCAGTTATTTAGCAGGCAAGGAGGGGGAGGAAAGGTGAGCTGGGAGGATGGAAGGGAGCAAGAGAAAAGAATGAATATGCTGGGAGCACTGGCTCACGCCTATAATCCCAGCACTTTGGGAGGCCGAGGCAGGCAGATAGCTTGAGGTCAGGAGTTCAAGATTAGCCTGGCCAACATGGTGAAACCTTGTCTCTAATAAAAATACAAAAATTAGCCGGGCATGGTGGCTCACACCTGTAATCCCAGCTACTCAGGAGGCTGAGGCAGGAGAATTGCTTGAACCCGGGAGGTGGAGGCTGCAGTGAGCCGAGATCGCATCACTGCACTCCAGCCTGGGTGACATAGCAAGACTCCCTCTCAAAAAAAGAAAAAAAAAAAAAAAAAAAAAGAATGAACAGTCACCATACCTGGACTCCTAATTCTTCACTAAGGTTGGTGAACAAATATTCATAGCCATAAGCCGCTTTGCAGTTCAGCCACACAACATGGTACAGGCTCTGAGTGATCCAGCTTTGAACCAGCTCTAAGACTCCACATAAACACTCCTCCTAGACAGGATTTTAAAGAGACATTTAACAGGTGGAGAGCCGCACATAGCCTTTTCCTTCCCAACAGTCCCAGGTACTCACACCTACGGGGACAGTTAGGATATGACCTGTCACCCTACAAACTTCCTACTAAAAACACGGGCACACCCAGATGATAACCCTTTTCCTCCAGGCAGACTTACCTGACTTGGAATTTGGTAAAATCTTGGATCACACAACATAGTATCTAAATATACACTTTGGATGTCTTTGAAAAGAAGAAAAAAATTGATGTTAGCCATCCAATGTGATATAAATTATGTGTAACTTTTTTTGTTTTTTGAGATGGAGTTTCGCTCTGTTGCCCAGGCTGAAGTGCAATGTCTGCTCACTGCCACCTCCTCCATCTCCCGGGTTCAAGCAATTCTCCTGCCTCAGCCTCCCAAGTATCTGGGATCACGGGTGTGCATCACCACTCCTTGCTAATTTTTGTATTTTTTAGTAGAGACAGGGTTTCACCATGTTGACCAGTCTGGTCTCGAACTCCTGGCCTCAAATGATCCACCCACCTCGGCCTCCCAAACTGCTGGGATTACTGGCATGAGCCACCACACCTGTTTATGGCCAGAACAATATTGTTCTGTTTATGGCCAGAACAATAATACTTTATTCAGTCATACACATAAGAACTGTACAAGGGGCCAGGCACAGTGGCTCATGCCTGTAATCTCAGCAATTTGAGAGGCCAGGGCTGGCAGATCACCTGAGGTCAGGAGTTCAAGACCAGCCTGGCCAACATGGCAAAACCCCATCTCTACTAAAAATACAAAATTAGTTGAGTGTGGTGGCACACACCTGTTATCCCAGCTACTTGGGAGGCTGAGGCAGGAGAATCACTTGAACTCTGGAGGCAGAGGTTGCAGTGAGCCAAGATTACATCACTGCCCTCCAGCCTGGGCGACAGAGCAACACTCCGTTTCACAAAACAAACAAACAAACAAAAAACCACCTATACGAGGCCCAGTACCTGCCCCCGGAGTGCAAAAGCTCCATTCTAGCAGCTTCTCCTTGCACCAATCTGAAGTCCCCTGTGTACAAGATAGTTCCATTATTGCCCTGAAATAAAAACCTGAAAAAGAAATATATCCCAGTGACTTCTGAGTCTCATATAAAATCCCAAATAAAGCAAATACATGTGAGCTGCATAGTAAATGCTTCCTGCAAATATATCCATTAAAATACAATGGTAATGGAATCCCACAGTAATTTGAACCACACCAGGCACTCAGCTGTTACCTCTTCCCTCGGGTAGAAAATAACAGAATGGAGATGCTACCCAATTTCTAATAGATGTTCCTTGTGATATGTTAGCACTTTCAATTATATGTTGAGATCATTCTTGCTCATGGAGAGAGAAATACAAGTGATGATAAAATACAAGGTCGCTGGGGAAACAGCTGCTGAAGACTTCCATTTATTTATTTATTTATTTATTTATTTATTTATTTATTTATTTTTATTTTGAGACAAGAGTCTTGCTCTGTCCCCCAGGCTGGAATGCGGTGGTGCAATCTTGGCTCACTGTAACCTCCGCCACCTGGGATCAAGCAATTCTCTGCCTCAGCCTCCCCAGTAGCTGGGACTACAGGAGTGTGCCACCAAGATAAGTGAAAACCGATGGCCACAAAAAATGTGTGCCTGACTGTTCACAGCAGCATTCTTTTTTTTTTTTTTTTGGGAGACGGAGTCTGGCTCTGTCGCCTACTCTGGAGTGCAGTGGTGCGATCAAGATTCCTGGGTTCAAGCCATTCTCCTACCTCAGCCTCCCAAATAGCTGGGACTACAGGCGGGCACTGCCACGCCCAGCTGGCACAGCGGCATTCTTCATACTAGCCAAAAGGTGGAACCAGTTCAAATGTCTATCAACTGATGCACGAATCAGGAAAATGTGGTCTAGCCATACAATGAAATATTATTTGGCCATAAAAAGAAGTGACACGTGCTGCAACATGGATGATCCTTGAAAACATCCTCAGTGAAAGAAGCCGGATATGAAATGAGCACATGTTGTATGATTCCACTCATAGGAAATATCCGGAATAGGTGAACCCATGGAGACAGAGAGTCCAATACAGTAGTGGTTGCCGGGGGTTGGGGAAGGAGAGAATAGGGAGGCATTGCGATCGCTAAAGGCTTCTTCCCTTGGGGTGCTGAAAATATTCTGAAATTGATTGTGGTGATGGATACACAAGTGTGTGACTTGATTTCTATGTCAATAAAGCTATTTACTTTTTTTTTTTTTTTTGAGACGGAGTCTCACTCTGTCGCCCAGGCTGGAGTGCAATGGCGTGATCTTGGCTCACTGCAACCTCTGCCTCCTGGGTTCAAGCAATTCTCCTGCCCCAGCCTCCCCAGCTGGGATTACAGGCGCCTGCCATCACGCCTGGCTAATTTTTTGTATTTTTAGTAGAGATGGGGTTTCACCATGTTCGCCAGGCTAGTCTTGAACTCTTGACCTCAAGTGATACGTCTGCCTCGGCCTCCCAAAGTGCTGGGATTACAGGTGAGAGCCACCAAGCCCGGCCACTATTTAACAATTTTTAAAGCCTTAGCCAGGTGCGGTGGCTCACGCCTGTAATTCCAGCACTTTGGGAGGCTGAGGTGAGTGAACCCCTTGAGGTCAGGAGTTAGAGACCAGTCTGGCCAACATGGTGAAACCCTGTGTCTACTAAAAATACAAAAATTAGCCAGGCGTGGTGGTGGGCACCTGTAATCCCAGCTACTCAGGAGGCTGAGGCAAGAGAATCGCTTGAACCCAGGAGGTGGAGATTGCAGTGAACCAAGATCGCCCTACTGCACTCCAGCCTGGGCGACACAGTGAGGCTCAGTCTCAAAAAAAAAAAAAAAAAGATTAAAGCCTGGATGAGGCCTGGTCCCGATACACACTGCACATCATACTGTTCGGCAAGGGCAAGACCTGCGGGCACTACTGCCTCTCCAGCCATCAGTAAGTGGGGAGAGCTCTGCACACACCAGGTCACTGCTCAGTGACAGTGACTCCTCATGGAAGTCTCCATTCATTCTGGAGGACCCTTTCGAATGGGTCTCCCCCTGGTTGGAGCTGGATAAACAATGCACAAAAGTCATGGCACACAGGAAGAAACATAAAAAATCAAAGTGGAGGCAAGACTGCTCAAAAGTCAGCCTGCTGTCAGCCCCCAGCTCAGGGAATGCCTTTCACCAATATCCCTGATGTGACAAGGCCACACACTATCACACTATTCCCCGGAAAAGCAGTTGGCAGAGTCCAGGATGGCATTTACAAAGGTTCACCTATTTTTTTTTTTCCTTTTTAATTCTCCCTAAACTGGCTCTGTAGTCCTCCCTCAGGATAATTTGATGGGAAGAATACTTCAACTTCAACTGTCTGATCTCCAAAGAAGAAACATCTGAAAAGGTCAGTTTCTGTTCAGATCACATTCAAACAACACAAGACACCCTCACAGTTAAACATGGCAAAGCAGTGTGCTATAATCAAGCTACAAAACCAATATTAACCAAAATAGGAAAAGGTTAAAAAAACGGGGGGTGTATGTCTATAGTCCTACTTATTAAAACCATACATTCACAAAAGTACTACTCAAAATTTAATGATGAAAAATAAATTTTTCCACTTGGCAGTGCCCCTTTTCTGAATAAGGGTTCAGAAAAAAAGTACAATATCCATGAATTTGCTGCAAAAATATTAATCACCATTTTAAATTCTGAATATTATAAAACTCAGTAAATGTGACAATAACATCAGGTAGTAATATCAACACCAGGGTTCCCATCATTAGCATGTAATAAGGAACAAAAAATAAGCCATGCCCAATCCTTTACAACATGGGAAATAAATACATCACTGTTAAGGACTAAATGTTCGTGTCCCTTCCCAAAATCCGTATGTTGAAATCCTAACCCCCAAAGTGGTTTTATTAGGAGGCCTTTGGGAGGTGATTAGTTGTTGGGCATAGAAGCCTTGTGAGTGACATCAGTGCCTTTATAAAAGATGCCCAGGGGAGCTTGTTTGCTCCTTTACTATGGGAGGACACAGGGAAAAAGACAGCATCTAAGAACCAGGAAGTGGCCAGGCACAGTGACTCACACCGGTCACCCCAGCACTTTGGGAGGCCAAGGCAGGCAGATCACTTGAGGTCAGGAGTTCAAGATGAGTCTGACCAACATGGTGAAACCCCCTCTCTACTAAAAATACAATAATTAGCTGGGCTCTGGTCGTGGTGGCAGGCGCCTGTAATCCCAGCTACTAGAGAGGCTGAGGCAGGAGAATCGCTTGAACCCAGGAGGTGGAGGTTGCAGTGAGCCAAGATCACACCACTGCACTCCAGCCTGGGTGACGGAGTGAGACTCCGTCTCAAAAAAAAAAAGAACCAGGAAGTGGGCCCTCACCAGACACGAAATCTGCTGGAGACTGGATCTTGGATTTCCAGTCTCTAGAAACCTAAGCAACAAGTGTCTATTGTATAAGCCACTCAGTCTACGGTAGTTTTGTGAGTCCAGCCCAAATGGACTTACACAATCACAAAGGGATTTTTTGCCCCTAAAACCCCACTCAATTACTAGATTTTTATTTATGGTTAAATGAGCATTCAAAATCAAAGAGAAAGATTGAGGGTATAGCTGATGGGTGGAGCATCTGACTACAAAATCAAAGAGAAATATAAACAATCATTTTAGCACCGCATTTTTTTAAAAAAATCAATATTTAATATTTAGTTACCTCTCCTGATGCTTCATCCACTAAAGATATCTGGGTAGGAGCCTCGATTTCAATAGATATCTGTAAAAATAAAATAAGAGACCATGTATGTAGCAGTTTTTCATGGCTTTATATGCCTTTGCTGTCTGAAACACAGAAACGGGGCAAAGAGAAGTTTCAGACTCTCTATATAAACAATTCCGATTACATTGTAATAAATATTTTAACAGAAAGAATTGTAAAGAAAATAATACCTGTCTTGAGGCAGATTTGGCAATACGGAGTAAATGCCTTGTAAATGCATATAATCCTCTGACACAATTCTGTTTCCATGAATTCATTTTTCCTCCTTCATCTCCCCATCCCTACCACTCCCGTTCCCCTCTCTCTCTGAATTTTGAGTCTTTGTAAAAACGTGGTCATGTGTCCTAACTTTTGTGCCTCAGAACACAGTCTGGATGGGTCTGTGACATGGATGCTTCATACACTGGTTCTTTTTTTTTTTTTCTCAGATGGATTCTCGCTCTCCCAGGCTGGAGCGCAGTGGTGTGGTATTGGCTCACTGCAACCACCGCCTCCTGGGTTCACGCGATTCTCCTGCCTCAGCCTCCCAAGTAGCTGGGATGACAGGCGCCCGCTACTACGCAAGGCTGAGTTTTTTGTACTTTTAGTAGAGACAGGGTTTTGACATGTTGGCCAGGCTGGTCTCCAACTCCTAACCTCAGGATCAACTGCCTCAGCTTTCCAAAGTGCTGGGATTACAGGCGTGAGCCACCACACCCAGCCTCATGCACTGGTTCTAAGTGCTGCAGAACGCTCCCTGGTACATTTCCCCCTGCCATCAAAACAGAGACTAGCACATAAGAGGCATTCAGTAAGTATCTGATGAATAGATCAGTGTGATTTTTCATCTTTTTAGTCCACTAATGTCCTAAAACTTACAGTGTCTAAGGTTTGGGTGTTAAAGTATTTTTGCATTTCTGGAATGAAACATCTTATTCATGATGTACTATTTAACACTGCTAGATTCAGTTACTGTCTTTATGAGGATTCTTACATTTTCATGTATGAAATGAGTTTTTCCCCATTTATTATTTTTGAGATAGGGTCTCACTCTGTCGCCCAGGCTGGGGCGCAGTGGCACGATCTCAGCTTGCTGCAACCTCTGCCTCCCAGGTTCAAGCAATTCTCCTGCCTCACCCTCCTGAGCAGCTGGGACTACAGGCACCCGCCACCATGCCTGGCTAATGTTTTGTAGCAGAGATCGGGTTTCACCATATTGGCCAGACTGGTCTCGAACTCCTGACCTCAGGTGATCCCTCCACCTCAGCCTCCCAAAGTGCTGCGATTACAGGTGTGAGCCACTGAGCCCGTCCTCTTTTCTAATATATCTATTTAATGCTCTCAATTTCCCTTCAAGGACAAATTTAGCTATGTTCCACACATTCTGACATGCCACGTTTCCATTGTCCATCAGCTCCTTTATTTATTTATTTATTTATTTATTTATTTATTTATTTATTTATTTAGAGACAGGCTCTTGCTGTGTTGGCCAGCCTGGAGTGCAGTGGCGCAATCACGGCTCACTATAGCCTCAAACTTCGGGGCTCAAGTGATTTTTCTGCCTCAGCCTTCTGAGTGGCTGGGACTACAGGCACACTCTACTATACCAGGCTAATTTTTAAGGTTTTTTTGTAGACATGGGGTTTTGCGGTATTGCCCAGGCTGCTTTCGAACTGCTGGACTCACACAATTGTCCCACCTTGGCCTCCCGAAGTGCTAGGACTACACATGTGAGCCCCCAAGCCTAGCCATATCAGTTCTACATATTGTATGTTTTCTTTATCGTACAATTTCCTTTTTAACCAAAGGGTCAGTTATTGTATGCACTTAGTTTCCACGTGTATGGGAAGATTTTAGCTGTCCCTTTGTTTCTGATCTCCAACATCATTGCCTTCTTTTGTGACACAGTACATGGTTAGTTTTTGTAAGTGTCATGAGCACCCCCCAAAATACTATTTTCTTCCTTGGGTTTAAAGTTCTGTTCATTAGTCCACATTCACACATTTTCTGCATCCTGTTTCCTGCCTCCTTCTTTCAGCATCTGGGAGGGGCATGTTAAGCTCTTCAGTGACAATTGTTGATTTCCTATTTCTTGCCCTGATTCTGCGGTGGCCTTGTTTGTACTATGTCAACTCACCTAAGCTGGAACTGTTTCCTAGAACCCCTTTCCATGTTGTTGCCCACAGTAAACATTCAGAAGGCAGATGTGAACTAGTAGGGTTTTTTTAATGCTCTGAAGGGTGCCAGAAATGGTAACAGCTCGTGAACATTGCTGACCTTCTGGCTTAACTCAGAGTCTGGGGCAGGGCCGCAGCAACATCAGCTTCTGCTGGGTGCCTGTGTGCAGCTCCTCCGAGTCCTGGGGCAGGTGCATGTGCTTCAGAGCCAAAGCGGGAGACCAGCACTATTGAGGCCAGAAGAAGTGAGAGACAGAAGTGGGTTTCGGTCTGTCCTGCTGGGCTCTAGTGAGCCACTCTGCCTTCCAGTTTGTCTCTGTTCCCCTCCACTTCTCTTCCAGCTTTCCTTCCTGACTGCTGGCCGGGCTGACCTGTAGTAACTTCAAGCTGAATGTCAGAGACAACAGGAACAACCCTGCTGTTGTGACTGCTCTGCAGAGGGAGGACAAATCCCCTTCCCAATCAAAGGTCAGATGTGGAGGTGGATGATATCATGCACACAAACACACGTGCACACACTATGTGTGCATACTCACACACGCATGCACATACACACACACGCGAGCACACACACGACAGAGAATGAGAAGAAAACTTCAGTCACATCACAGGATTTTCGGGGAGGGCAGTGCAGTCCCTGAGCTGAGGACAGAAGTGTTTCCTGTGGCTTAAGAGAGAGTAGGAGCAAGTAGCCCTGGTTTCCACTTTGGTGCGGGTTGGGCCTGGACATGCCTGGTTTGAACTTCGCTTTAGTGCTAAGGCAGGCATGGGCCTTTTTGTCAGCTTGCCCAAATGTGGGTAGGAGGGAGGCACTGGCTGTAAGCAGCTTAAGAGCAAACAGAAGCCTGGCACAGTGGTTCACACCTGTAATCCCAGCACTTGGGTGGCCGAGGCGGGAGGATCACCTGAGGGCAGGAGTACAAGACCAGCCTCGCCAACATGGCAAAACCCCATCTCTACTAAAAAATACAAAAATTAGCCAGGTATGGTGGTTCAGGCCTGTAATCCCCGCTACTAGGGAGGGGGAGGCAGGGAGAATTGCTTGAACCGGTTAGATGGAGGTTGCGGTGAGCTGAGATCACGCCTCTGCGCTCCAGCCTGTGACAAAGTGAGACTATCTCAAAAAAAGGAAAAAAAAAAATAGAAACAGACTCTTTGTGACACTGGGACAAACTGCTCTGCCAACTCCCACAATGATTTAAGAACTAATCCATGTAATGAACCCACATTCTGTTAAGTCATTGTGGTTCTCCTCAGATCAAGCACTGGGTGACAGGTTCTCGCAGTTTCTACTTCAGCTGGACGCTATTTTGTCAGTTGCACATACATCCATATGACCCATGGCTCCTTTTAACAGTGACACCCTCTTCAAACCTTGTCTTTCTTTGCCTTCTAGTCTACTTTCTGATATTAAAAACTGCCACTCTGACATTTTGGCCTTCTAATTGGTTAGTAATTTTTTCTTCTTCCCCCAAAATTTCAAATTTCAACCTATATTTATCCTTCTGTTTTATCTATGTCTCTTATAGACTAATACTCATGAATTTGTCTAACTGTTTTGTTTGTTTTTGAAGATGGAGTCTCTCTCTGTCACCCAGGCTGGAGTGCAGTGGCACGATCTCAGCTCACTGCAACCTCCGCCTCCCAGGTTCAAGCGATTCTCCTGCCTCAGCATCCCAAGGAGCTGGGACTACAGGCACCGCCACCACACCCAATTTTTTGCATTTTTAGTAGACACGGGGTTTCACCCTGTTGGCCAGGCTGTTCTCTATCTGACCTCAGGGGAGCTGCCCGCCTCGGCCTCCCAAAGTGCTGGGATTACAAGCGTGAGCCACTGGGCCCAGCCAGATTTGTCTGATTTTTTTAACTTAAACTGAGAATTTGTCTTTTTTTTTTTGAGACGGAGTCTCGCTCTGTCGCCCAGGCCGGACTTCGGACTGCAGTGGCGCAATCTCGGCTCACTGCAAGCTCCGCTTCCCGGGTTCACGCCATTCTCCTGCCTCAGCCTCCCGAGTAGCTGGGACTACAGGCGCCCGCCACCGCGCCCGGCTAATTTTTTGTATTTTTAGTAGAGACGGGGTTTCACCTTGTTAGCCAGGATGGTCTCGATCTCCTGACCTCATGATCCACCCGCCTCGGCCTCCCAAAGTGCTGGGATTACAGGCGTGAGCCACCGCGCCCGGCCGAGAATTTGTCTTTTGACCAAAGGTACAATTAGATCCTTTCTTATATATAGTAATATATAATTGGACTTTTTCTGCCTTCTTTGCATTTTCTATGCACCAGACGTTTTTCTCCCCTTGACTACCTCACATTGGACAGATGCATTTTATTCTGCCAGACCGAAAGTTACCCATTCTATCTGTATTCTTCTAGCTGTCATCCCTTCCTTATGACAGACTGTAATTTATGTTTATTTTTCTTACTCTATCCCACAATTTAAATAAAAGGATTTAGCAATTATGTTAATGAACACTTTATATTCTTGTTAAATATATTAAAATGTGGCCAGGCATGGTGGCTCACACCTGTAATTCCAACACTTTGGGAGGCCAAGGTGGGTGGATCACCTGAAGTCAGGAGTTTGAGACCAGCCTGGCCAACATGGTGAAACCCCGTCCCTACTAAAAACACAAATATTAGCTGGGCATGGTGGCGGGATTCTGTAGTCCCAGCTACTTGGGAGGCTGAGGCAGGAGAATCGTTTGAACCCAGGAGTCAGATGTTGCAGTGAGCTGAGTTTGAGCCACTGCACTCCGGCCTGGGCGACAGAGTGAGACTCCTCCTCAAAAAAAAAAAAAAAAAAGAGAAGAAAAGAAAAGAAAAGAAAAATACTAAAATGCATCTTAGCAAGAGGGTCAATGAGATTAAACAAACAAAACTAAAGACCTAGATAGATCCATTGCACTCCAGCCTGGGCGACAGAGTAAGACTCCGTAACAAAAAAAAAAAAAAAAAATTAGCCGGGTGTGGTGGTACATGCCTGTAATCCCAGCTACTCAGGAGGTTGAGGCATGAGAATCGCTTGAGCCTGGGAGGTAGAGATTGCAGTGAGCCGAGATTGCACCACTGCACTCCAGTCTGGGCAACAGAGTGAGACCCTCTCTCGAAATCAATCAATCAATCAATCAATCCCCCAGCAACCTCATAGCTCAGGAGGAATAAGTCTGAGGCGTATGTTTTACACTGGCTCCAGCAACTTCTCCAGTAGGAGTTAAGCTTCCATTACCTGCCACAGTATCCGACTGGATAACGTACTCTGTTGGGTTCCTCCCTGCCTTGCTGCTTCTTCCACCCCTTACCTATGGTTCTTTTCCTCCTGAATAACCTCCTTGTACTCCGAAGCCTTATCCCAGGATTGGCCTCTAGGTTCCCCCACCTAAGACAACATAATCCCAATGCTGCCAGGAATCTCTGCAGAAACAGCCTAAATGTTGATGAGTGAGGAAGGCAGTACTAACCTTTAAGATTTAAGAAGTCCCCTTCTTTGAGTTGTTTGACATCAGTGAGTCTTGAGTGCTTTGAGATCAACTAGATAACAGATCATTTTTATTTTAACTGCTTCTTCACTGATAAGTTTGTTTTGGCATCATTTCCAAGTTCTGACCTTTAAATAGATTTTTGTCTTTTTTGGTTTTTGTTTTTTTTTGAGACAGGATCTCACTCTGTCACCCAGACTGGAGTGCAGTGGCACTTTCATGGCTCACTGCAGCCTCAACCTCCTGGGCTCAAGCAATCCTCCTGAAGAGGAAATTAATGAATTTTACAATATGTAAAGCCAGAAAATTAACTTTCCCCTCTGGGCTTAGTATAATGTAGCACCGCCATAGTCTAAGTTAGAGAAGAATACTAACTGCCTGTTTTTCCTTCTGTGCTCTGAGAGACTTATCTGTTCTCACTACTTTCACATTCCTTGAGGCTCAGTGAGTTCCTGCTTCACCTCCCTAGGGCAGCTGCAAAGTTACAAAGTTGATAAAGAAACATGGTTTCCCAGGGCTGTAGAACATGTAGTATAGATAAATGTAAAAGACTGATCAACTGTCTTTGTTCTCGCTTCTGTAAGTACGCTTCCTGCATCACATAGCTCCCAGCCACTGACTGCTTAAAAGGTGGCTTCTTTCTTTGTCTGGTGCTCAGACTTTCTGGACCCTAGTCCTACTGAGCCAGTGATCACCTTAATAATAAAGGGCTCTCCTGAACTCTGTTCGGTCTCTCCCGTCTTTGATTGTCCCGCTACACTCCCACCTCAGCCTCCCAAGGAGCTGGGACTACAGGCACATGCCACCATGCCTGGCTAAATTTTTTTGTCTTTTTTGTAGATATGGGTTTCTGCTATGAACTCAAGTGATCCACTCACCCTGGCCTCCCAAAGTGCTGGGATTACAGGCATGAGCCACCACACCCCACCCAAACTGATTATTTTATTGCAGTAAAGACAACCCTGATTTTAGTGCCACCCGTGATAGGCTGGCTTTTGCTAATAGGATTAGAACATCCTCAGTAGAAAAATTCTGTGAACCTGAGATCAAAGTCCAGTTTTTACAAGATCAAATATTGAGATTAATGATGTGCAAGAAATGTCAGGGCCAGAAGAGACCTGTAGAAAGAAATCTATTTTCTGACCTATTTAAAACAACTATCAAATTTTTATTGGCAGCACCGGGTAAGTAATAGTAGCTCCACTAATCAGTTACATTCATTCATTTATTTATTTATTTTATTTATTTATTTTTGAGATGGAGTTTCACTCTTGTCACCCAGGCTGGAGTTCAATGGCACAATCTTGGCTTACTGCAACCTCTGCCTCCCAGGTTGAAGCCATTCTCCTGCCTCAGCCTCCAGGGTAGCTGGGATTACAGGTGTGTACCACCACACCCAGCTAATTTTGTATTTTTAGTAGAGATGGGGTTTCACCATGTTGGCCAGGCTGGTCTCAAACTCCTAACCTCAGTTGATCCACCTGCCTTGGCCTCCCAAAATGGTGGGATTACAGGTGTGAGCCACCCTGCCCAGCCTACTTAGTTAAATTTAGAGCACTAGCAATAGATAGTCTTAGAACAAGCAGAAGGTAGTTTTGTTCTTTCTCAAGTGGCAGAAGCAGACATGGGTTGTCAAAAGCAAAAGGAGGGTTTCATTAGTCCATTTTCACACTGCTAATAAAGATTTAATGGACTCAGTTTCATATGGCTGGGGAGGCCTCACAATCATGGTGGAAGGCAAAAGGCACATCTTACATGGCAGCAGACAAGACAGAATGACAGCCAAGCAAAAGTGGAAGCCCTTTATAAAACCATCAGATCTTGTGCGACTTATTCACTACCATGAGAACAGTATGGGGGAAACTGCCCCCATGATTCAGTTATTTCCCACCGGGTCCCTCCCACAACACGTGGGAATTATGGGAGCTACAATTCAAGATGAGATTTGGGTGGGGACAAAGCCAAATCATATCAAGGGTAAAGGAAAGAATTAACAGGGTAGAGCTGAGATTGCTGTCTTTAGAAAGGCAGGCTGCCAGGGCTGGCCCTCCACTGGCACTGGGCAACTGAGATCTCAGGGGTGTTCTCACCATTCCTGATAAGAGTGGCTCACACTGCTTAACACATGTGTACAAACAATCTGATTTATGTCACTCTCCTGAGAGCCTGAAATTTTGGTACATGCTAGGCAGCGGGTACCTATGTAACCAGCCCCAAATAAAAACCCTGGCCACTGAGTCTCTAACAAGCTTTCTTGGTGGACACCATTTCACGTGTTGTCACAACTTGGTTCAGGAGGAACTGAGCATGGCCTGTGTGATTCCACTGGGACAGGACTCTTGGAACCTTGAGCGTTGTTTCCTCTGGAGCTCACGCTATGCTCCTTCTCCTTTTGCTCATTTGCTTTGGATCTTTTCACTGTAATACATCATAGCCACAAGTCCAGTGAGCCCTCCTCTTAAACCATCAAATCTGGGGCTCATGTTGGGGACCCCAGATGTGCAGAGCATAATGAGTTGTTCACTAGAGTGCATCAAAGTACAATCATAAGCAAGATTAGTATCAGAGCAAAGGAAAGCTGAGGTCAGCTAGGGCTCACAGGCAGAAGCAATCTGCCACTAGCAGGCCTTGGCTCAATGCAAGGGACTCAGGTCAACTCTCCTCTACTGTCTGCAGATCTCCTACAGGAAATGGATGTCTGGTGCAAGGGGAAGATGGTGTATATTTTTTATGTTTAGCTTTATTCATTTATTTTTTTGAGACAGAGTCTCACTGTGTCACGCAGGCTTGAGTGCAGTGGCACAATCTCTGCTCACTGCAAACTCCACCTCCTGGATTCAAGTGATTTCATGCCTCAGCCTCCTGAGTAGCTGGAACTACAGGCAGGCACCACCACGCCCGGCTAATTTTTGTATTTTTAGTAGAGACAGGGTTGCTCCATGTTGGCCAGGCTGGTCATGAACTCCTGACCTCAAATGATCCACCCGCCTCAGCCTCCCAAAGTGTGGAGATTACAGGCATGAGCCAACATGCCCGACGATGTATATTTTTTTTAAATCAGGAAACATGAGTTTAAGACTTAATCCCTTGGGGACCATGTGCGGTGGCTCACGCCTATAATCCCAGCATTTTGGGAGGCCAAGGAGAGAGGATTGCTTGAAGACAGGAGTTTGAGGCCAGGTGTTCAAGGCCAGCCTGGGCAACATAGTGAGACTCTCTCTACAAAAAATATAAAAATTAACTGGGCATGGTGGTGTACACCTGTAGTCCTAGCTACTCAGAAGGCTGAGGCAGGAGGATCCCCTGAGCCAAGGAGTTGGAGGCTGCAGTGAACTATGACTGCCCTACTACACTCCAGTCTAGGTGGCAGAAAAAGACCCTGTGTCTTAAAAAAGGAAAAAAAATAAGACTCAGCCCCTTGAAGCGCTGCTGCTGTGTCAGCTCCTAAAAGTCCCCAATAAGCTCTTATCTATCAAGGCTTAGTGCAGTTTTTTAATCTGGTATCTTTTCCAGCATCCGCAACGTGGCTTCCCACTGGTCCCAGGGTACCCAGTCCAGTGCAAATAGTTGGCTGGGTCCTTGATTGCAGAAGGACTGCCAATAAGAAAGTTCTGAACAGTTTTTTGTCCATGATATCAGTTCCTCAGCCTTGCAAATCTAGACAACACCTGTGTACATGGAAAGTGGAAAGTTCAGGGCCAATTTCACCTTTGTAGCTATTGGCACCCCTGTTCTCAGAGGCCGCATCCATATTACATGCAATATATAAAAATGTCCCAACTCTACTCTCTCAAAAGAATTTTTTTTTTTTGAGAGTCTCGCTCTGTTGCCCAGGCTGGAGTACAGTGGCGCAATCTTGGCCACTGCAACCTCTGCCGCCCAGAGTCAAGTGATTCTCCTGCCTCAGCCTCCCGAGTAGCTGGGATTACAGGTGTATGCCACTAAACTGAGCTAATTTTTGTATTTTTAGTAGAGATGGAGTTTCACCATGTTGGCCAGGCTGGTCTCAAACTCCTGACCTCAAGTGATCCATCCGCCTCGGCCTCCCAAAGTGCTGGGATTACAGGCGTGAGCCACCACGCCCGGCAAAAGTCTGTTTTCTTATACCTTCCACCAGATTAAGAGCTCACAGAGGCAAAAACCTACCATGTCTTTGTACCTCTTAGTGCTCTACTTCTAGTGTGGATGGGTAAATAAGCAAATGAATAGATCATCCATTCTACTCATTACTAACAAAAGACAATTCTGTTATTAAAACTTTAATAGAGCCCTATTAAAGGGAAGATGAATTTATTACCAGAAAGAACTGGAAAAAATTAGATACTTTTTTTTTTTTTCATTTGGAAGTGACAAATGCTCAAAAGAACATTCAGGCTGGGTGCGGTGGCTCACGCCTCTAATCCCAGCACTTTGGGAGGCCGAGGCAGGCGGATCACCTGAGGTCAGGAATTTGAGACCAGACTGGGCAACACCGTTAAACCTCATGTGATTACTAGTACTAAGTGTCAACTTGACTGGATTGAAGGATGCAAAGTATTGTTCCTGGCTGTGTCTGTGAGGGTGTTGACAAAGGAGATTAACAGGGAAGTCAGTGAACTGGGAAAGGCAGACCCACCCTCAATCTGGGTGAGCACCATCTAATCGGCTGCCAGCGTGGCTAGAATATAAACAGGCAGAAAAATGTGAAAAGGCTGGACTAGCCTAGCCTCCCAGACTCCATCTTTCTCCCATGCTGGATGCTTCCCGCCCTTGAACATCAGACTCCAATTTCTTCAGTTCTGGGACTCTGACTGGCTTCCTTGCTCCTCAGCCTGCAGATGGCCTATTGTGAGACCTCACGTTGTCATATGTAAGTCAATTCTCCTTAATAAACTCCCCTTTATACATACATCTATCCTATTAGTTCTGTCCCTCTAGAGAACCCTGACTAATACACCCCATCACTACTAAAAATACAAAAAAAAAAAAAAAATGAGCTATGCATCGTGGAGGGCGCCTGTAGTCCCAGCCACTCAGGAGAGAGGCAGGAAAATCACTTGAACCCGGGAGGCAAAGGTTCCAGTAAACTGAGATCACACCACTGCACTCCAGCCTGGGCGACAGAGTGAGACTCAGTTTCAAAAAAAAAAAAAAAAAAAGAAAAACATCGCACAGGGAATTCTATAACTTGTTTTTCAAAGTGCTACATGCATTAAGTTTCTCACTAGCGGTTTATTCTTGGCCAGGAGGTGATTTCCGAAATGCTTCTCAAAAGGCAACAAAATCAGAAAGTTCTTAAATTCTGAGAAGTGTGGTAATGAAATCTGGCCCCATATTTCTGCCTCCAGCAAAAAACAACTTCCTTAATTCTGACACCTATCAATAAAGAAAAGTTTTTTGTTTTCTTTTTTTTAGACAGTCTTACTTTGTAGCCCAGGCTGGAGTGCAGTGGTGCAATCTTGGCTCACTGCAACCTCCACCTCCCAGGTTCAAATGATTCTCATGCCTCAGCATCCCAAGAAGCTGGGATTACAGGTGCCCACCACCACAGTGGGCTAATTTTTTTTTTTTTTTAAAGTAGAGATGGGGTTTCACCATGTTGGCCAGGCTGGTCTTGAACTCCTGACCTAAAGCGATCCACCTGCCTCGGCCTCCCAAAGTGCTAGAATTACAGGCCTGAACCGCTGCAGCCTACCAGTGAAAAGTATTTAACTCATGTAGCAATTTTACTTATTGTGGATTTTATAACTAGTAGGAAAAATGACTAGAAATCCATGGTTCCCTAATTTTTAAGGCACATATTTGAATTTCTGGACTGACTGAATTGAGATAAAGGGTGACTGTAAAGGGCAAATCCTTTGATGACTTCAAATCTAGGCATATCAGCAAGATCATTTCCTTTCTTATCATTATTTACAATATATATAGTAAGAGAGTGCAAGGGAGGGATTGGATAGGCAGAGAAACAGAAAGAAGAAGAGAAGGAGGAGAGAGGAAGAAGAAAAAGGAGAAGAAAGAGGGGGAGGAGAAGAAAAAAGAAGAGGAAGAGAAGGCAGAGAGAAGAGGTGATGTCTTAGTCTATGCTGCTATAACAGGTTACCCAAGACCGGGTAATTTATAACGAACGGAAGTCTATTGGCTCACAGTTTTGAAGGCTGGGAAGTCCAGTATGAAGGCACCTGCAGTTTGGGCATTCTCATTGCAAGATGGTACTTTGAACGTGCGTCCTCCAGATGGGAAGAAGGCTTTGTCTTTGTCTTCATAGGGTGGAAGAGGAAAGGGCAAAAAGAGAGAGGGCAGGAAGGGGCTGAACTGACCCTTTTATAAGGGCATTAATCCCACCCATGAAGGCAGAGCCCTCACCATCTAATAGTTTTCCCAAGGGTCCTATCTCTTAATATTACAAAGGCAATTAAATTTCAACATGAGTTTTGAAGGAGACAAATGTTCAAACTATAGCAGGTAGGGAGAAAGGAAGGAAGAAGGAGGGGGAGGGAAAAGAGACTGATGGGTTAGGAGGAACTTTAGCAAAAGAATCAGCTCTGCCAGGTGGAAAGGGAAACTACCAGGAGAGAAAGAGGTGGGGGAAGGAACCTCCTAGAGGAAAGGGCAGACTCCACCATTTTTTTTTTTTCTTTTTTTTTTTTTTTTGAGACGGAGTCTCGCTCTGTCACCCAGGCTGGAGTGCAATGGCAAGATCTTGGCTCACTGCAACCTCCGCCTCCCAGGTTCAAGCAATTCTCCTGGGTTCAAGAGATTCTCCTGCCTCAGCCTTCCAAGTAGCTGGGATTACAGGCTCCCACCACCATGCCTGGCTAATTTTTGTATTTTTAGTAGAGACGGGGTTTCGCCATGTTGCCCAGTCTGACCTTGAACTCCTGACCTCAGGTGATCTGCCCACCTCGGCCTCCCAGAGTACTGGGATTACAGGAGTAAGCCACTGCACCCAGCCGACTCTACCCTTTTTGAACATTATTAGAACTTCTTTGATGGGCAAGAAAGGATACTAAGGAACTCCGAAAGGAAATACAATGAAGAAGGAAGGATAAGGCCCTACTGGGATCTGAGGCCTTCACAGCAGGACCCACATGATGATGAGAGAAGACTGTCCCTTTGCAGGGTGAGCTGAGGCTGGAAGTGGTCTATGGCCCAGCCACTTTGTTCTTGCAGGTGTGCTCTGTGATGGACTAATCAGTTATGGTCTTGGGAGCTCACGGTGGGTTCCACTGTGGCCTATGCCAAAACCAGAGAGTATCTTCAACAGCCCATAAAGAAGCATAAGACTGTACTGCAGACAGTTTTCATTTTTTCTTTTCTTTCTTTCTTTTTTTTTTTTTTTGAGACGGGTCTTGCTCTTGTTGCCCAGGCTGGCATGCAGTGGCACGATCTCGGCTCACTGCAACCTTCACCTCCCGGGTTCAAGCGATTCTCCTGCCTCAGCTTCCCGAGTAGCTGGGATTACAGGTGCGCACCACCACGCCCCACTGATTTTTGTATTTTTAGTAGAGACAGGGTTTCGCCATGTTGGCCAGGCTGGTCACGAACTCCTGACGTCGTGATCCGCCCACCTCGGCCTCCCAAAGTGCTGGGATTACAGGCGCTGAGAGTTAAAAGGCTGGGGTTGTTCATTGAACTCCCAGAAGTAGGAGTTTGCTAGCAGAGAAGGCAGTGGTGAGTTGGGGAGAGGCATTCTAGGAGCATAGAGAAGCAAAGTTAGAGAAAAGGAAGCCACGGACCAGAGAAAGCCCGGTATAGTCGGAGTGTGACTTCCAAATCCCGAGGCTGGTGCCAAACAGCACTGTATTCGGCTGTTCTTGCTTTGCTATAAAGAAATACCTGTGACCGGGTAATTTATGAGAAAAGAGACTTACTGGCTCCTGGTTCTGCAGTCTATACAGAAAGGGTAGCTCTGGCATCTGCTTCTAGGGAGGCCTCCAGAAGCCTTGACTCATGGGGGAAGGGGAAGTAGGAAAAGGCACGGGTCACACAGCGAAAGCAGGAGCAAAAGAGAAAGCTGGATGGGGAAGTGCCATAGCTTTCGAAGGACCGGATCTCATGAGAACTCACTATCTCTGAGACAGCACCAAGCCACGTGGGATCCGCCCCCTTGACCAAAACACCTCCCACCAGGCCCCACCTCCAGCAGGGGGGATGACATTTACCCAAACTATATCAAGCGCCATCTCCTGTGCTCCAAGTTTTCTTCCCAGTCAAAAGCATTTTACGCTATCTTCTCGGGGCTCTGCATTGGGACGCCATGGGGAAGCACAGAGGTAGATCTGGCTCTTGGGGAGAAAGGGGAGCATGGGCAAATGGTGTGCCATTTCCACCTTAGAAAAAGATCAAATCACAGAGCGTCAAACAAAAAGAGCCTGAGGTTTTGTAGCCTGACACTCTCCACTGTCTCCTTTCATTGCTCATGTTCTCATTGAATCTCACACCAATCTCGCGAGGCAGCTGAAGAAACCCAGGCCCAGAATGGTGTGTGGTTTACCCATGGCCTCCCAGGGGCTGAGTGATTCTAGATGTTAGCCCAGCACCCCACAGCTGTATATGCCTGCAATGAGAAACCAGCAAAGGAAACTGCACACGACCTGCTAAGAAGGTCCTGGCCCAGACGCTGATTAACTGTACGTTTAAGTCACATTATTGTCTTTACATTTAACTGTGGTTATAGCTATTTCCTGGAGGTCAAATCCTCTAAGAATTTTTATTTATTTATTTTTTAAAGATGGAGCCAGGCGTGGTGACTCATGCCTGTAATCCTAGCACTTTGGGATTCCAAGGTGGGTGGATCGCTTGAGGTCAGGAGTTCAAGACCAGCCTGGGCAAAATGGCGAAACCCCATCTCTACTAAAAATACAGAAATTAGCTGGGCCTGGTGGTGAGTGCCTGTAATCCCAGCGATTTGGGAAGCTGAGGCAGGAGAATCGCCGAACCTGGGAGGTGGAGGTTGCAGTGAGCTGAGATTGCGCCATTGCACTCCAACCTGGGCAACAAAAGCGAGACTCTATCCCCCCAAAAAAGAGAGATGGGATCTCACTCTTGCCCATGCTGGAGTGCAGTGCCACAACCACAGCTCACTGCAGCCTCAAACTCCTGGGCTCAAGACATCCTCCCCTCCTTGGCCTCCTGAGTAGCTGGGACTACAGGTGCATACCACTGTGCCTAATTTTTAAAAATTTTTGTAGGGATTGGGGGGCCTTGCTATGTTGCCCAGGCTGGTCTCGAACTCCTGGGATCAAGCAATCCTCCCTCCTCAGCCTCCCAAAGTTCTAGGATTACAGCCTCTCAGAATTTTTTAAAGCAAGAATTGTAGGCCAGACGCAGTGGCTCACACCTGTAATCACAATATTCTGGGAGGCTGAGGCAGGCAGATCACGAGGTCAAGAGTTTGAGAGCAGCCTGACCAACATGGTGAAACCTCGTCTCTACTAAAAATACGAAAATTAGCCAAGCATGGTGGTGCATGTCTGTAATCCCAGATACTCCGGAGGCTGAGGCAGGAGAATCGCTTGAACCTGGGAGGCAGAGGTTGCAGTGAGCCAAGATCGTGCCACAGCACTCCAGCCTGGGAGACAGAGCGAGACTGTGTCTCAAAATAAATAAATCAACAAACAAACAAACAAACAGTCTTGAAATCGGCTGGAGCAAAACTACAATTGCACATAACATTAAAAAAAAAAAGGTGCGTATTGTAAATCCGACAGTAACCACTAAAACAAGAAAACAAAGAGCTATGGCTAATAAGGCAATAGAGACATACAGAACAGTTTTTAATACTTTTATTTTTAACTTTAAAGAATTATTATCATAGAAGCCGGCTGCAGTGGCTCACGCCTATAATCCTGGCTCTTTGGGAGGCTAAGGCAGGCGGATCACCTGAGGTCAGGAGTTTGAGACCAGCCTGGCCAACATGGTGAAACCCCGTCTCTACTAAAAATACAAAAATTAGCCAGGCATGGTGGCGAGCGCCTGTAATCCCAGCTACTCAGCAGGCTAAGGCAGGAGAATCTCTTGAACCTGGAAGGCGGAGGTTGCGGTGAGCCAAGATTGCACCACTGCACGCCAGGCTGGGTGACAGAGCGAGACTCCGTATCAAAAAAAAAAGTGTAAGTCACTAGTTGTAACTGTGGAGGCTGGGCACATCACATCAGAGGCCTAACCGATAGCTAGATGGCTTCCTAGATGAAACACGACCCATTTCTTGTGAGCTATCCACAGGCAGCAGAGTGTCTGAGATGAAGGAATAGTATAGGAAATCTCATATTGCTGGTAGAACTTGCCTGAATTCTCTACGTATGGGGATGGGAGGCATTAAACTTTTACAGCCTTATCAATGTAAGCTCTGTTCTTTATGTAACTGGCAGCGACTTCAGCCAGGAATAAGAATAGCCAAGTGTTCTCTATACTGCCAACACAAAGAGCCACAGGCCAGGAACGCTGCCTGGATGAACCAGGAAAAACCCTGCTCCAGCCCTCAGGGCAGACTGCAGGTGCTTGCGAATCTTGGGCTTGGGGTTGGAGGCTGCCCAACACCCTGGGAACCCACTTCTTGCATTAGTGTGACCCAGATGCAAGACATGGAATCAAAGGAGATCACTTTGGAGTTTTAAGATTTGACCGCCCTGTTGGATTTTGGACTGGCATGGGGCCTGTAGCCCCTTTGTTTTGGCCAATTTCTCCCATTTGGAACTGCTGTATTTACCCAATGCCTGTACCCCATTGTATCTAGGAAGTAACTAACTTGCTTTTGATTTTACAGGCTGATAGGCGGAAGGGACTCACCTTGTCTCAGATAAGATGTTGGACTGTGGACTTCTGAGTTAATGCTGAAATGAGTTAAGACTTTGGGGGACTGTTAGGAAGGCATGATTGGTTTTGAAATGTGAGGACATAAGATTTGGGAGGGGTCCAGGGTGGAATAATACTGTATCCCCACCGAAATTTCATCTCGAATTGTAACTCCCACAATTCCCACGTGTTATGCGAGAAACCCAGTGAGAGGTGGTTGAATCAGGGGGATGGGTCTTTCCTGTGCTATTTTTGTGTTAGTGAATGAGTCTCATGAGATCTGACAGTTTTAAAAACGGGAGTTCCCCTGTGCAAACTCTCTCTTTGCCTGCTGCCATCCGTGTAAGATGTGACTTGCTTCTCCTTGCCTTCCACCATGATTGTGAGGCCTCCCCAGCTATGTGGCACTGTAAGTCTGTGAAACCCTTTTCCAGTATAAATTACCCAGTCTCGGGTATGTTTTTATTAGCAGCATGAAAACGGACTAACGCAGAGACATTGCAGGGGAAACAGCAGGGACGTGTTAAAACTCACTGGGAGGGCATGTGGGAGAATTGATGAAATATAGGTTCCAAGAGCATGGATCAGTCATTTGGGCTGTTAGTACCAGTACTGCCCTGAATTCTTGCAAATATATTCAGCATCTTGACTGGGAATTGCACCTCAGGCTGGGTGCAGTGGTTCACGCTTGTAATACCAGCGCTTTGGGAAGCTAAAGCAGGAGAACTGCTTGAAGTCAGGAATTCGAGACCAGCCTGGGCAACATAGAGAGACCCCCATCTCCAAAAAGAAATTTTTAGAATTAGGCAGGTGTGGTGGTGTGCACCTCTAGTCCTAGTTACTCGGGAGGCTGAGGTGGGAAGATTGCTTGAGCCTGGGAAGTTGAAGCTGCAGTGAGCTATGATAGCACCCCTGCACGCCAGTCTGAGTGACAGAGGAAGACTATGTCTCTCTAAAAAAAAAGGGAATTGCAACTCAAAGAAAAGCTAGTTTAAAAATCTCCCTAGAAGACTGCATGTGTGGCTGGGTGCCATGGCTCATGCCTGTAATCCCAGCACTTTGGGAGGCCAAGGCAGGTAGATCACCTGAGGTCAGGAGTTCGAGACCAGCCTGGCCAACACCCTGAAACCCCATCTCTACTAAAAATACAAAATTAGCTGAGTGTGGTGATGCATGCCTGTAATTCCAGCTACTTGGGAGGCTGAGGCAGGAGAATCACTTCAACCTGGGAGGCGGAGGTTGCAGTGAGCCGAGATTGTGCCACTGCACTCCAGCCTGGACAATAAGAGGAAAACTTTGCCTCAAAAAAAAAGAGAAGATTGCATTTGTAGGCGACTTTTGAGATGCTGAACTAGCACCCTTTCTCCATGATTGTATCTTTACTCATTGTAAGCATACGGACAGCTGCTGCTGGAAAGAGGCCTGTCTGTATTTTAGCTAAGAGTCCCCCAGAAGAAGGCAACATTTCAGGAGGTGGCCAACAGCAAGACTGTGCAGTCGTCAGTTTGGAAGACAAGGCCCCACAGGGAGAAGTCTGTATCCCCTAAGAAGGGCATCACTTACGATGATTTGTTAAGCAAAACTGATCCTCATCTTATGAGGAATCAAAAAGGTCCCCTGTGCCAAGGTAGGTACCCTTTCTGCCATCTTTAGCTCACTTTGCTTCTGAACCCCTGAACCTCACAGTTCCCACAAAAGCCTGTGCTTGGGTGGTCTTTTAGAGTGGTCTCACCTCCTAAGTCTCAGACTTTGAAATTTCACCTTTCCATTGCAGCCATCACACACTTTCCCCATGCCCCATTCCTTCTCTCCTATGGACTTACTCTTTGTCCCCATGACAACTTCCAGTCCTGGGGCCTCTTTTTCCCCAGAAAGTGGAGCCCTCTCCTGCTGTCCCTTTGTCACTCCCCAGTCATAATCCCATTACACCCTTTCTCTTTATGGGGCACCCTCAATTCTCTTTCCCCTTTGGTTTCTGTCCTTCCAACCTGCCAGTCTCATGCTTGGGTCAACCCATCTGTTCACCATCTTTGTTTCTGAGCCTATCCTCATTGCCACAGAAGATCAAGAAAGCTGGCTGACACCAGTGGTGAAAGATACAGATTTCAGTCACAGCTATTGGCAACTGTGGATTTAGCCTTTCCAGTTGCTCCCACTATTGACCATTCCAACTTTATCCTAATCACCAGTCATCCCATAATTGTCCAATGATCTCTCCTACATTCCTGGGAAAAGAGGCCATCTGTCTAAACTCTAACCTCCTCTGCTTCAGCCTCAAAATATCTCTGCAGCATCACCCCTTCCTTCCTTCCCTTCCCCACTTCCCTTTCCCCCGTCCTAGATGAACAAGTTTCATCATGCCTTTTTAGCAATAACCGCTACCCCGTTTTCTACTCCTATTCATTCATTTATTGTTCATTCCACATGATAGGAATTCCTTGTTCATTCTTGCATGGTAGGAAGCAAGGAGGATGCAACTGTGAACAAAACCACCAAAGCCTCCATACTCAAAGAGCTTACTGTCTAGCAGTACAGAAAATCAGTGATGATTACAAGAATCCTCTTTCTACTCTAGGACTTTGCTCCATCTCAAAGGGATGGTCTCAAACCATCCCTTTCTCTCTTTTTAATTTTCCTCAATCCTGCCTCCCTCTTAAGCACTGTCTCCCTACCTCAACCATCAGATTACTCATCTGATCAGTTTACCTGGCCATCTCACTCTACTCCCATGAGGCTCCTAAGGCTTCTCTCTTGAAGACAGTGAACAATGTTGGTGCTCAGTCCAAATGCCCTATTGACTAGAGTGGGTGCAGCCCAATTTCAGCAGCAAACCCCAGAGGGGCTCCCAGGCTACTGTGCTTTTCCCACAGGCAAAGAGAAGTACCCGAAGCTTCTCTTTCCTGGATTAGAATTATCCCATTATCACCAGCACGATAGGATACTTTCAGTTCTTGTCTTCTTTGATCTCTTAGAGGCATTCCACACCTTTTTTTATTTTTATTTTTATTTTTATTTTTTTTGAGACAGAGTTTTCGCTCTTGTGGCCCAGGCTGGAGTGCAATGGTGCGATCTTGGCTCACTGCAACCTCTGCCTCCCAGGTCCAAGCGATTCTCCTGCCTCAGCCTCCTGAGTAACTGGGATTACAGGCATGTGCCTCCACGCCTGCCTAATTTCATATTTTTAGTAGAGACGGGGTTTCTCCATGTTGGTCAGGCTGGTCTCAAACTCCTGACCTCAGGTGATCCGCCTGCCTCGGCCTCCCAAAGTGCTAGGATTACAGGCGTGAGCCACCATACCCAGCCATTTTTTTTTTCTTTTGGGACGGAGTTTCACTCTGTTGCCCAGGCTGGAGTGCAGTGGCTTGATCTCGGCTCACTGCAAACTCCACCTCCTTGGTTCAAGTGATTCTCTTGCCTCAGCCTCCTGTGTAGCTGGGATTACAGGCGTGCACCATGACATCTGGCTGATTTCTGTATTTTTAGTAGAGACGGGGTTTCACCATGTTGGCCAGGCTGATCTCAAACTCCTGACCTCAGGTGGTCCAACCCACCTCGGCCTACCAAAGTGCTGGGATTCCAGGTGTGAGCTACCGCAACTGGCCCACACCTTTGACCCGTTGGCATCCTCTGGGCTCTTCCTGAGAGGCCCAGTTACGTCTTTGTCCTCCTATTTCCCTGGCATCTCCATCTAACTTTTCTGTCAGCTTCTCTTTTTCTGCTTGGTGTTTAAATGCTAGTGATTCTCAGGACTCTATCCTACACTCTTCACCTGCAAACCACTGACTTTCAGTGCATCGGTAATTGAGTTTGAGGAGAGTATGCACAACTCCCAACCCCTGAATGGTACCAGGCACAAATACAACAAATACACATGGTATTTTTCTTTTTTCTTTTGAGACAGAGTTTTGCTCTTTTTGCCCAGGCTGGAGTGCAATGACGTGATCTCGGCTCACTGCAACCTTCACCTCCCCGGTTCAAGCGATTCTCCTGCCTCAGCCTCCCAAGTAGCTGGGATTACAGGCACCCGCCATCACGCCCAGCTAATTTTTTGTATTTTTAGTAGAGACAGGGTTTCACTATGTTAGCCAGGCTGGTCTGGAACTCCTGACCTCAGGCAATCCACCTGTCTTGGCCTCCTGAAGTGCTAGGATTATAGGTGTGAGCCAGCGTGCCCAGCCCATGAGATGTTTTAATACAGGCATGCAATGTAATGTCACGGAGAATGGGGTATCCACCCTCTCAAACATTTATCCTTTGTGTTACAGACAATCCAATTATACTCTTCTAGTCATTTTAGAATGTACAATTAAGTTATTATTGACTACAGTCACTCTGTTGTGCTATAAAATAGTTGGACATCATACTTGCTTCCTCCCTCTCCCACAGTCTCCATATCTAAGAAATTATCAATTCCTACTGGTTTCATGGTCAAAGTGGCTGAAGAACCCAAGCCTTCTTTTCATCCTTAGCTCCTCCACATTAGCACAAAGGCAGAATGCATTAGGGGTGAAAAGCATAGTTTCTGGAACCAGACTACTTGGATTTGCCCTCTGGTCTGTTTCCTACCCACGTGTCTTTTTTTTTTTTTTTTTTTTTTTTTTGAGATGGAGGAGTCTCGCTCTGTCGCCCAGGCTGGAGTGCAGTGGCGTGATCTCCGCTCACTGCAAGCTCCGCCTCCCGGGTTCACACCATTCTCCTGGCTCAGCCTCCCGAGTAGCTGGGACTACAGGCGCCCGCCACCACACCCAGCTAATTTTTTGTATTTTTAGTAGAGATGGGGTTTCACCATGTTAGCCAGGGTGGTCTCAGTCTCCTGACCTTGTGATCCACCCGCCTTGGCCTCCCAAAGTGCTGGGATTACAGGTGTGAGCCACCGCGTCCAGCCATCCACGTGTCTTTTAGTCAGTTACTTAACCTCTCTGTGCCTTAGCTTTTTTTAATCTTCAAAATAGGGGACATAATACCTTAATTATTCTTGTGAATAATGCCTACATGATTGAAAACACGAAAAGTCTTAATAGGTATTGAAAGCTTAGAAGGGTGCTTGGTCCTTAGTGTTATGTGTTTGCTAATATTATAAGGCCAGGTATCACTCTTTATCATCTAGATGTCTAAAACAGCCTCTTAACTTGATTTTACTGTCTAGTCAGTAATTCTGAAAGTCAATTCACCTTTTTCCACCTTCCAGTGGATTCTCTTCTTCTTTTTTTTTTTTTTTTTCAGACAGAGTTTTGCTTTTGTTGCCCTGGAGTGCAGTGGCGTGATCTCAGGCTCACTGCAACCTCTGCCTCCTGGGTTCAAGTGATTCTCCTGCCTCAGCCTCCTCAGTAGCAGGTGCCTACCACCATGCCCAGCTAATTTTTTGTATTTTTTAGTAGAGGTGGAGTTTCACCATGTTGGCCAGGCCCATCTCAAACTCTAGACCTCAGGTGATCCGCCCACTTTAGCCTCCCAAAGTGCTGGGATTACTGGTGTGAGCCACTGCACCAGCCTTGCCTTCCAGTTTAGTTAACTTCTTTTATTTTCCTAATAGATGGTACATTGTGTCTCCTCTGGGCCACAGCCCATGTCATTCTTCCTGCTTTGTTGTTTTCATTGTTCTTTCATAATGTTCTGAGATTACCTCATTTCCTGTGTCCTCTCTTTCTTTGGCAATCCAAAGAAAGTCATCTTTCAGATTGTCTGCTCAGAGTTCATCTCAAAGCCTGGCAAGTGAGTATCTTATATTTTAAATTATCTAAAAATCATAGAGTAATACCTTCTCAGATATGTCTCATATGCACAGCCTATAGTTGGATTATCTTTTAATCTAATCTGCGAATATTGCTTTGTAACTAGAGAATTTAGTCTGTTTATATATAATATAATCACTGGTATCTGGGGCTTAATCTGTCATCTTGTATTCAATTTTTATTTGTTTTACCTGTTCTATGTTTCTTTCCCTTGCCTTTTCTCAGTTCTCTTTTTGATTAAATAAACATTTTTCTCTTCCAGTTTGGATGATTTACAGTCTGTTTCTATTCTTCTAAGGGCTAGCCTGAGAAATTAAGGCATGCATATTTATACAGTCTAAATTTAGTAAAACCTCACAGATAATGTAAGGAACTTTGTTTGCCTGTGCCTGGCTTTGACATTATTTTTGCCTTGTATTTTAATTTTATATATATATATTTTTTTCTTTCTTTTTTTTTAAATTTTGAGATAGAGTTTTTCCCTGTCACCCAGGCTGGAGTACAATGGTGCAATCTCGGCTCACTACTGTCTTTTTCATTCCTCCTTGCATCTCCTATCTTCCATCTGGGATCATTTACTTTCTGCTCAAAGTATATCCTTTAACGTTTCTTTAAAAATTGTCTCCTGGTGACAAACTTAGTTTTTACTTGTCTGAAAATGTCTTTATGTTGCCCTGTTTCCTAAAAGCTGTTTTTACTGGGTATAGAATTCTAATTTGGCAGTTCTTGTCTCTTAGTACTTGAAGATATCATTCTATTCTCTTCCATGTTTTTGCATTGCTGTGAGTCCATCCCCACCTCTCCTCACCTCCTGGCTCCTTTTAATAGTTTTCTTCTGTGTTTCTTGGTTTTGCAGTTTCATTGTAATGCATCTCTATAAAGATTGCTTTTTTTGTAATCTATTCTGCTGGACATTTGCTGGGCATGTTTTATCTTTGGACTAGTACTATGCATCAGTTCCACAAAAATCTAAGCCATTATCTCTGGAGTATTGTCTCTGTCCCACTCTCCCTCTTCTCTCGTCTGGTACTTCAATCAAATGAAAGCATCTAGAGGTTTCAATCAAATGAAAGCATCTTGAGGAGAGAGTCACTGTTATTCTTACCGGAGGATGCCTCCAGTGTTGAAAACAAAACCCAGGACATTTTACTCAACTTGGAAAATATTTCTTGAGTAAACTTGGACAGTGGTTAAATGTTTAATCTTCCCAGGTATGATTGATCACAGACCGTGCTAAGTCAAAAAATAATACAAAACAAGGTTTTTATGTACTTCAATTAGAAGGAGTTGGAGTAATTCAACCTAATTTTATGAAAACTTTGTAATGCTCCATAACAACTTTTAATTGTCAACACCAAAAAAATTTGTATCCCAGCTCTGACTGCCTATTTTTCTTGGAAGAACTTGCTCTCTTTTTCTGCCTTTCATATCATTACCTAAGAAGGAACTATTTCCAGGTAAAGTCAGAGAAATCCTCATGAGTCATTCAGGTGATTTTTTTCTGAGAGTTGATGGTGGCTCTGGCCCAGAATTACTAAGAAAAGGCTCTAAGAAACAAACAGATGGGCTCCCCACCCTCTGTAAACTTTCTTCCTCTATTTAGGCACATCTTTCTGTTCCTAAAAATGCCCTCCACTGCATGACAAAAGCTTTAAGCTGAGGGATTCACCTGAGCTCCCTGGAACTGTGTTGAAAGTCACAACTGAGCTTGACAAGTTAACCGTGGCCTTAAAATGAATACTTGGGATCCAAGGAGCTCCTAGGAAGTCAGAAGATAAAGACCTTTATAAATGACAGATCTGTACTTGAGGTCAGGAGTTCAAGACCAGCCTGGCCAACATGGTGAAACCCCCGTCTCTACTAAAAATACAAAAATTAGCCAAGCCTGGTGGCGGGTGCCTGTAATTCCAGCTACTTGGGAGGCTAAGGCACAGGAATTGCCTGAACCTGGGAGGTAGAGGTTGCAGTGAGCCAAGGTCGTGCCACCACACTCCAGCCTGGGCGATAGAGCGAGATTCAGTCTCAAAGAAATGAATAAATAAATAAATGTCAGATCTGGCCGGGTGTGGTGGCTCACGCCTATAATCCCAGCACTTTGGGAGGCTGACGTGGGTGGATCACTTGAGGTCAGGAGTTTGAGACCAGCCTGGGCAACATGGCGAAACCCTGTCTTTACTAAAAATACAAAAGTTATCTGGGCGCAGTGGTGGGCACCTATAATCCCAGCTACTTGGGAGGCTGAGGCAGGACAATCATTTGAACTTGAGCCACTGCACTCCAGCCTGGGCAACAGAGTGAGACTCCGTCTCAAAAAAATATAAATAAATAAATAAATAAATAAATAAATGACAGTTCTTTCAGTAGTTATTTTTCTTCTCTTTTCTGAATACTTGAAGATTGCAAAATGGGAAGTTTGGCACAGCAGTGAAGCCTTTTTTTAGAATCCCTCTTTCTTGAGATTTATTTTATTTTACTTTTTGAGATGGAGTCTCACTCTGTCACCCAGGCTGGAGTGCAGTGGCGCGATCTCAGCTCACTGCAGACTTCATCTCCCGGGTTCAAGCGATTCTCCTGCCTCAGCCTCCCAACTAGCTGGGATTACAGCCATGGGCCACATATCCGGCTAATTTTTATATTTTTAGTAGAGATGGGGGTTTCACCGTGTTGGCCAGGCTGGTCTTGAACTCCTGACCTCAAGTACTGGGATGAGCCGCCACGCCCAGCCACTTTCTTGAGATTTAAAAGAGCACAACTTTACAAACACTTAGAAAGCTAAGACATCTCTGTTGCCAAAACAAACATCCCTCACCCTTACCCTAATTTTCTAGTATGTATGGAATGTTTTCTGTTCTTTTAGGAGCAGGCTTGTTTCATGGCTAGAGTCTGGAAATGTTGCATCTTTGTCTGTCTGTATATACGTGAGCAGTCCTGTTAATGGAAGCACTTACTGCTAATTGGATATGAATGGGGTGGGATGGGGGTGGTGACTCCTTATCTGAATAACATCAGTTGTGTTGGTTCTAACCCATTTCTTCTTCTCCTTTGTCATCACCACTGTCATTTTTTTCTCTTCTCTGTCTTCTCCTTCCTTTTCCTCTGACCTTCTTTATTTTTAACAGGGATTGGAGAGGTCAATAAGAGTCAGCGCCTTTAAAAAGAAATCTACTCACTCTTCTGTGTGCATAAGGCCGAGCAGAGGTTCTTCGTCTCAAGAGGAACTGACTTCTGTTGAGCACTCAACACGCCACAGAGACCAGCCATCTTGCAACCTCACCTCACAGCATGGAGAGAGGAGACCAACCTAAGAGAACCAGGCAGGCCACCCCTTGTGCCACCAGGCTCTTCCTCCATCCCAGGGGCTCCGATACCCTGCCTTTGTACGGCTCCCTTTTTAGTTTGAAAGAGGTTTCTCAGCCAGGTGCTCACACTTGTAATCCCAGCACTTTGGGAGCCTGAGGCAGGTGAATTACCTGAGGTCAGGAGTTCAAGACCAGCCTGGCCGACATGGCAAAACCCTGTCTCTACTAAAAATACCAAAAATTCACCGGGTATGGTGGTGCACCCTCAGGGTGGTGGTAATCCCAGCCACTCGGGAGGGTGAGGCAGGAGAATTGCTGAAACCTGGGAGGTGCAGGTTGCAGTGAGACGAGATCGCGCCACTGCACTCCAGCCTGGTTGACAGCAAGAATCCATCTCAAAAAAAATAAAAATTAGTCTTTTTTGCCTTTATCTTTAAACTAGTAATTATTAACATAAGTGCCCAAGTAAAAAGCAGTGAGTTTTTCTCCAGAAATTATCCACCCCCCCAAAAAAAGTTTTCGTTTGTGCCTAGGTTCATAGAAAATCTCTCATTTTATGAGTGTTCTGAATTATTTTGTTATGAAGAACAAAGTACCCTTTACAGAACACAAGTTAACCTGAAAAGATATCAGTTGGTGTTAGTTTTGGATGTTTGTAGAGATCAACTGAAAAAACGAGAGGGGTATAACAGATTGCATCATTATACTAGGGTTTAGAACCTCATATTTGGGAATATTATATATCTTTGTAAGGAATTTAAGGATCAATTTGGAAACTTTATAGAAATTGTTTAAATTGTGGTCACAAATGTGTACAGATAGGATGACTTTTTCAAAAAGAACTTTTCCTAATATCACCTGATTGGGTACTTGGATCTTGGGATAAAATTCCGGTGACATTATAAGTAGATTTGTTTGTTTGCTTGTTTTGAGACAGAGTCTCACTCTGTCACCCAGGCTGGAGAGCGGTGGTGCGATCTCGGCTCACTGCAACCCCCCCCTCCTGGGTTCAAGTAATCCTCCTGCCTCAGCCTCCCGAGTAGCTGGGATTACAGGTGCCCACCACCACACCCAGCTAATTTTTGTATTATTAGTAGAGACAGGGCTTCGCCATGTTGGCCAGGCTGGTCTCGAACTCCTCACCTCTAGTGATCTGCCTCCCTTGGCTTCCCAAAGTGCTGGGCTTACAGGCATGAGCCACTGAGCCCAGTCTATAAGTAAATTTAAAAAGCACTGTTTATCAAACATTCAGAAGGAAGTCAAAATTATATGCTCTATAAAACTTACATATAACTTGAAAAGTGGCTCTGGAGATCATGAAGATACCAAGATTGAAGCTGCCCATGAACGGTTTGGATAAAATTATTCTCCAAATTGTGAAAAAGGCAATTTCTGAATTAACATTTATGTCACTTTAAGTGTGCATATAAAATGCACTTACTGAATGTTATATATAGGTATTTGACTATTTCACCTACATCCCTGAAAGTTTATTTAATTTAAAAATTAGAGACAAGGGCTGGGTGTGGCTTATTTTTGTAATCCCAGCACTTTGGGAGGCCGAGGCGGGCGGATCACCTGAGGTTGGGAGGTTGAGACCAGCCTGACCAACATGGAGAAACCCCGTCTCTACTAAAACATAAAAAAATTAGCTTGACATGGTGGCACTTGCCTGTAATCTCAACTACATGGGAGGCTGACGCAGGAGAATCACTTGAACCTGGAAGGTGGAGGTTGCTGTGAGCCGACATTACGCCGCTACATTCCAGCCTGGGCAACAAAGTGAGACTATGTCTTTTTTTTTTTTTTTTTTTTGGAGACTATGTCTCCAAAAAAAAAAAAATTAGAGGCAAGATGTCACTCTGTCACTGAGACTGGAATTCAGTGGTGCAGTCATAGCTCTCTGCACCCTCAAACTCTTAGGCTCCAGAGATCCTCCTGCCTCTGCCTCCCAAGTAGCTAGGATCATAGGTGTGTACCACTATGCCAACCTAACTTTTAAATTTTTTGTTGACATGAGGTCTCACTATGTTGTCCAGACTAGCTTCAAACTCCTGGTTGCAAGTGATCCTCCTCCTTGGCCTCCCAAATTGCTAGGATTACAGGCATGAGCTACCATGCCTAGTCCTAAAAATCTATGTATTCAAATTGTCAACACAGACTGTAAAAATCTTTTTTGCCCTTTCTTATTGGAAAAATTTGCAATCACTTTATATATGAACATATGTTTCTTATAATTAATAAAGATTTCCATTAAAACACAGGTAATTCAGTATAGGGAACTTAATTGATATACATAATGTTAAATATATTTGAATTTTCTCCCTAGGAATGAAAACATTTTCAACTGCTTATACAAAAACCCTGAGGCAACTTTTAAGCTGATTTGCTTTCCCTGGATGGGAGGTGGCTCCACTCATTTTGCCAAATGGGGCCAAGATACTCATGATTTGCTGGAAGGTATGTTAATTTTTAACATCATTTAAGCAATTTAAAAGGGCAGATGACATAAATGTATTAGAATTTGAAGTTTGGTCAAGACTTTCCTTCCTGGTAGGTAATTGATAATAAACTTTCAAGATTATGCTTCAATAGGGTGACTTTTATGTTTCTAAAGTAACTTTCTCTTTACTTTGTTTTTATCGTTAGAGCTAGAAGGACCTTTTAGGAGATGACGTTCTAATACTGCATTTGTCTTTGGTATAATTATTGATATGGTTGAACTGAATCTACCATCTTGCAATTGTTTCCAATTTGTCCCATGATGTGTTCTATTTTCCCTTTTCTGCTTTTCTTTCGAATTAATACAGAGTCTAAAAGACTGCTATAAATCCAGGCGCAGTGGCGCACGCTTGTAATACCAGCACTTTGGGAGGCTGAGGCAGGAGGATTGCTTGAGGCCAGGAGTTCAAGACCAGTCTGGGCAACACAGTGAGACCCCATCTCTATAATAATAATTATTTATTTATTTATTGTTTTTGAGTCAGAGTCTTGCTCTGTCACCCAGGCTGGAGTGCAGTGGTGCAATCTCGGCTCACTGCAATCTCCACCTCCCGGGTTCAGGTGACGCTTGTGCCTCAGCCTCCGAAGTAGCTGCACTTACAGGCATGTGCCACCATGCCCAGCTAATTTTTGCATTTTTAGTAGAGACAGTGTTTCACCATGTTGGCCAGGCTGGTCTCAAACTCCTGACCTCAGGTGATCCACCCACCTTGGCCTCCCAAAGTGCTAGGATTTTTTTTTTTTTTTTTTTTGAGACGGAGTCTGGCTCTGTCGCCCAGGCTGGAGTGCAGTAGCTTGATGTTGGCTCACTCCAAGCTCCGCTTCCGGGTTCACACCATTCTCCTGCCTCAGCCTCCCAAGTAGCTGGAACTACAGGCGCCTGCCACAGCGCCCAGCTAATTTTTTTGTATTTTTAGTAGAGACAGGGTTTCACTGTGTTAGCCAGGATGGTCTCAATCTCCTGACCTTGTGATCCGCCCGCCTCGGCCTCCCAAAGTGCTCGGATTACAGGCGTGAGCCACCGCGCCTGGCCCCAAAGTGCTAGGATTACAGATGTGAGCCACTGCAGCCGGCCTCTATAATAATAATATTTAAAGTCAAAAATAAAAGTATTAACTATTCTGTATGTCTCTATTGCCTTATTAGCCATAGTTTTTTGTTTTCTTGTTTTTGTGGATGCTGTCAGATTTACAATATGCACTTTTTTATTTAATGTTATGTGCAATTGTAAATCTGGCTGATTTCAAGACTGTTTATTATTATTATTATTATTTTTTTTTTTTTTTGAGATGGAGTCTTGCTCTGTCTCCCAGGCTGGAGTGCGGTGGCATGATCTTGGCTCACTGCAACCTCTGCCTCCCAGGTTCAAGCGATTCTCCTGCCTCAGCCTCCCAAGTATCTGGGATTACAGGCACACGCCACCAGGCCCAGCTAATTTTCGTATTTTTAGTAGAGACGAGGTTTCATAGTCTTTACTAAATTCACATTGTTAACAATCAGAATTCTTAACAATTCTGATTGGTTAAAGTATATAGCATAAAAAGTTAACAAGTATGTAGGCATCTTAAGGTCTGGAGAGCCATGACTGATTTAATCCCGTCTCTGTGCTTCATCTGAGAGGGATTAGCCATCTGATCTAATGGCTGCAAGCCTTGCAGGTGAGTGTTCAGCTTTAATTCAGAAGCTTGTTTTTATTACACATCTGTCCAACCTGTCGACATCTTGGGCAATTTTTGAAGATTTTTCTTTCAGATTTTCCCTCTTCTGACAGTATCCTTAGAGACACACCTATTATCTGTATGAAATCAATGAACTTACTGTATTTTTTTCTTCCTTCTCCTCTAAAAAAACGGTTGTATTATTTTTACTCTATCAGAGCATATAACATCATCCCTAATTTTTTTTTTTTAGTCTTAGAACCACAATAAAGTCTTCAAAACTCACCGCCAGTCGTTTTGCCAAACTTTCCCTAATCATGTATTCTTTGGATGAAGTTTGTCTTCTAGTACAAGGATGGTGAGCTTTTTCTGTAAACGGCCCAATAGTAAATATTTGCACATTTGTGGGATATACAGTGCTTGTTGCAACTCTTCAGCTTTGCCATTGTCTCACAAAAGCAAGCACAGACAATGCATACAAAATGAGCATGGCTGTGTCCCAGTAAAACTTTATGTACCAGAATATGTGGCTGCAGGCTGGGCATGGTGGCTCACGCCTGTAATCCTGGCACTTTGGGAGGCTGAGGTGGGCAGATTATTTGAGGTCAGGAGTTCAAGACTAGCTTGACCAACATGGTGAACCCTGTCTCTACTAAAAATACAGAAAATTAACTGAGCGTAGTAGTGCACGCCTATAATCCCAGCTACTCGGGAGGCTGAGGCAGAAGAACCGCTTGAACCTGGGAGGCGGAGATTGCTGCGAGCCGAGATCATGCCACTGCACTCCAGCCTGGGCCACAGAGTGAGACTCTGCCTAAAAAAAATAAATAAAAACAATGTGGCTGCTGGCTTTGACCCATGGGTTATAGTTGTTTGCTGTTTTAGTAGATTCTTCAGGCAGACTCATGATTCCAATATATGCTAAGTTCCTCCATCTCTAAGACTGCTTTGATACTGGCAATACTTTCTTTTTAAGAAAATTTTTTTTGTAGAGACAGAGTCTTGCTTTGTTGCCCAGGCTGGTCTCAAACTCCTAGCCTGAAGCAATCCCTCCACCTTGGCCTCCCAAAGTGCTGGGATTACAGGTGTAAACTACAGTATCTGGCCAGGAGATAAATTACTGATGTGTATACTTCTTTGAGTTTCTTTAACAACTTGTTTTACTGTTTGTTGTCTTGCTTCAGATTTTGTTATCAAAGAGTCTGATATCATCCTGATTTGCTTCTTTTATAAATGACTTGGTAATTTGTTTGGAGGGCTTTTCTTTTTTTTTTTTTTTTGGTGACAGAGTCTCACTCTGTCACCCAGGCCCCAGGCCCCAGGCCGGAGTGCAGTGGCGTGATCTCGGCTCACTGCAGCCTCTGCCTCCCGGGTTCAAGTGATCCTCCTGCCTCAGCCTCCTGAGTAGTTGGGAATACAGGCATGCACCACCATGGCTGGCTAATTTTGTATTTTAGTAGAGACGGGGGTTCACCATGTTGGCCAGGCTGGTCTCGAACTCCTGACCTCAAGTGATCCACCTGCCTCGGCCTCCTAAAGTGCTGGGATTACAGGTGTGAGCCACTGTGTCTGGCCACAAATCCTCAAATTCTAACATTTTAATGCAACTACTATGGGTCAAGTTTCTCAAGCATATGATAGGCTCTTTTAATATGTCATTTTCTTTCTTATTTTATTTCAGGGAATGTTACAGTAGGTAGTTAGACATAAACAAGGCAGGAGAGGCCCCTCCACCCCCAGCCAGGAATGTCAAGTGACTATCAGGTGATGGTCAGGCAGTTGTTAAACCATCTATCTAAAATAATAATTAGTCACCGCCGGTTCCAGGGAAAGGCAGTCCCCCAATAGCTACAACACACTGAAAGTTGGCAATCAGCAGCTTCCTGATAGGATTTCAGAAACTGGTCAAGTGGATTCACACATGCGCACTAAGAGGCAAAATGGTGGTGTTTAACTGGTCCTTCTTCCAGAAAAACTAGTAAGGGAAAAACACTTTCAGTGAGCATGCATACAACTCCAGTAAACACACTGGGCATGCAGCCCCTCCCAAGTTCTGGCAGGCCACTGTGCATGCAGAGAGCCCACCCCAAGGGAAGAATCAAGGTAGAAGGGATGCAACCCCCCGAAGCATGCCAATGTATAAAACCCCAAGTCAAAGGTCAAACAGGGCACTTGATCTCTCAAGTCATCCACTTAGCCCTCTTCCAAGTGTACTTCACACTTCACTTCCTTTTTTGTTTCTGTTCTAAGCTTTTTTTTTTTCCCTTGACACAGGGTCTTGCTCTGTTGCCCAGGCTGGAGTGTGGTGGTGCAATCACAGCTCACTGCAGCCTCAACCTCCCAGGCTCAAGCGATCCTCCCACCCCAGCCTTCCAACTAGCTGGGAACACAAGCATAAGCTACCACGCTTGGCTAATTTCTTTTTTCATATTTTTGTTGTTGTTGTTTTTGTAGAGATGGGCTTTTGCCATGTTGTCTAGGCTGGTATTGTACTCAGTCAAGGATTCACCCGCCTCAACCTCCCAAAGTGCTGGGATTATAGGCGTGAGCCACAGTGCTCAATCCTCTTAAGCATTTTTTTTTTTTTTTTTGAGATGGAGTCTCGCTCTGTCACCCAGGCTGAAGTTCAGTGGCGCAATCTCAGCTCACTGCAACCTCTGTCTCCCAGGTTCAAGCAATTCTCCTGCCTCAACTTCCTGGGTAACTGGGATTTTACAGGAGCCTGCCACCATGCCCAGTTGATTTTTGTATTTTTAGTAGAGACAGGATTTCACCATGTTGGCCAGGCTGGACTCAAACTCCTGATCTCAAGTGATCCACCCGCCTTGGCCTCCCAAAGTTCTGGGATTACAGGCATGAGCCACCCCGCCTGGCCTTTTTAAGATTTTTAATAAACTTTCACTCCTGCTCTGAAACTTGCCTCAGTCTCTCAGTCTGCCTTATGCCCCTTGGTCAAATTCTTCCTTCTACTCTACTTCCTTCTGCAAGAATTGAGGTTGTCACAGAGCCATTACGATTCGCTGCTGCTAACAGGAGTTTGCATGAATTAAATATTGATTATTTTCCAGTGTTTTATTTTGTTTAGTTTTCTTGAGGCTCTCCATGTGTCCCTATGCTGGAACCTTTTCTGCCTTCTATGACTACTACTTTGTTTTGTAATGTTTTCCCTTCCATGACTACTACTTTGTTTTGTAATGTTTTCTCTGTCCCGCTTTTGTTTCCTAGCTCTTTTGCTTGTACTCCATATCTAATTCAATACAGCACTTTGCATCCACTGTGTTGTGGGCAACTTTTAGTCATTTTTGAAATAATTTTTGTCTTTTTAATCCATTTCTGTCCACTATTCTGTCAGCTCTTTGTGCAATTTTTTTGGTCTATTTCTATGAAGAATTTTACATTTCTGAGTTATAGTGTTCTTTCGTTTCCACTATTTCTGGTTTAATTTCATCCAAGTTGGAGTGTTGTGCTGTTTTTTTCTGCTTTGTGAGGTGTTTTTTGTTTTGTTTTGTTTATTATTGAGACAGAGTCTCACTCTGTCACCCAGGCTAGAGTGCAGTGGTGTGATCTTGGCTCACTGCAACCTCTGCCTCCAGGGTTCAAGTGATTCTCATGTCTCAGCCTCCCAAGTAGGTGGGATTACAGGCACATGCCACCACGCCCGGCTAATTTTTATATTTTTTAGTAGAGATGGGGAAAGTGTTCTCATTGCCTGAAAAACTTTGATTTATACTTTCTATATTCTGTATGATACATTTATCTTTGTTTACGACAAAGTGTGTTAGATTTTCCTGACGAGCAAGAATACGTCATTCCACTGGAGCTAAGGTTGGTTGCTGACTAGTGAAGTGCAGTTTTAAAAACCACCTCGTTTGTGTGGGTGGGGGTTCTGTAATTCTGGTTCTTTGATATTTTCATGTTTCTGTAGGACTCTTTTCTATCTCCAGCCCCATCCTTCTTTATTTTTAGCTATCAGGATTCCCAACACTATACCTGTGTATTCCTCAAACTTTCCAAGTCTCGTCCTTTCTACATGCTGGTAGCCAACACTCTGATATCAAGTCTCAAAGAAAATAATCCATTCATTGGAAGAAGAGAGCCCTGTAATTCCTAAAGGTCTTTTTAGAAATTATCAGAAATACTTTTATATGAGGGTTTTAATCAATAGCTGATGGTTCAATACATACAATTAAAGGCCACTACTTTAAACAAGTTTTCAAATAGTAGATCTATAAAAATGTATACCATAAACTTAACCGTGTCCACTGCTCCCCTTAAAGAATAAAACAGTACCAATATAATTGAAGTCTCCCTCTCCATTTATGGCCTCCTCAAACACTGACTTAAGCAAGATATAGTATAATCTCTCATATTTCTAACTTTATATACTTTTTTTTTTTTTTTGGAGACAGAGTCTCACTCTGTCCCTCAGGCTGGAGTGCAGTGGCACAATCTCTGCTCACTGAAATCTCCACCTCCTGGGTTCAAGCGATTCTCCTGCCTCAGCTTCCCAAGTATCTGGGATTATAGGCATGTACCACTATGCCCAGCTAATTTTTGTATTTTTAGTAGAGACAGGATTTCACCATGTTGGCTAGGCTGGTCTCAAACTCCTGACCTTAGGTGATCCACCTGCCTCAGCTTCCCAAAGTGCTGGGATTACAGACATTTCTCTGAAACTTGCTTTTCCCACAATCTAGTTTTTAGTATTCCATTGTGTGACTATAACACAATTTATGTATCTATTCTGTTCTCAGGCATTAAGGTCATTTTTATTCTTTGCTATTAGTATAAACAGGGCTTCTATGAGCATCTTATACATGTCTTCTTATATACATGTACGAGAGAGTCTACATCTAGGAATGGAATTTCTGGGTGGTAGAGTATGAACATCTTCAACTACAAGAAATATTGTCAAATTGTTCTCCAAAGGAATTATAATAATTTATACTACCAAGCAGTATAGGAAAATTCTTATTGCTCTATATTGTTGACAATACCGTTGTAATTTTTTGCTCTGTGCATGAAATTATTCTAACTTTACATTGATTAACCCTTATTACAAGTAAGATTAGACATTTTTTTCACATTTTGATTGCTTGTCTTTTTCTCACTGACATGTAGAAATTCTTTCCTTTCTTTCTTTCCTTCCTTCCTTTCCTTCCTTCCTTTTTCTTTCTTTTCTTTTAACAGGATCTTGCTCTGTTGCCCAGGCTGGAGTACAATAGCATGATCTTGGCTCATTGCAGCCTTAACTTTTCAGCCTCAAGTGATCCTCCCACCTCAGCCTCCTGAGTAGCTGGGACTACAGGCATACACCACTATGCTCGGCTAATTTTATTTTATTTTATTTTTTTGTAGAGACAGCATCTCACCATGTTGCCAAGGCTGGTCTCAAACTCCGGCGCTCAAGTGATCCTCCTGCTTCAGCCTACCCATGTGCTGGCGTGAGCCACCGTAGGCGTGAGCCACCGTGCCTGGCCAAAATTCTTGGTCTATTCTGGATTCTAATTTTTTTTAGTAGGTTTTTTGTGTTGAAAATGTCTTCTAGTTTGTGCCACCTTTCTTTTTAATGTGGTGTCTTCTGACTCACAGAAGCTTTAAATTTTAATATAATCAAGCTTATTACTCTTCTTTTAAACTTTATGCTTTTTATGGCTTGCTTTAAAAGCAAGCCTAACCTAACCCTATACCCTAACCCCAAGTCACAGTTATTTGCCTATTTTTCTTCTATCAATTCTAAAGTATTTTGTCATATTTGAGCCTGCCTTTTGTATATAGTGTGAGCTAGATATCCAAGTTTACTTATACCACATGAATAGCCAGTTGGCTTAGCAACGCTTACTGAGAGGTCTATACATTCCCCCACTGGTTTTAAGTGTCAGTTGAATTGTAAATTGAGTTTTCACATGTATGTGGGTCTATTTCTGGGCTTTTTTTTTTTTTTTTTTTTGAGATGGAGTCTCGCTCTGGAGTGCAATGGCACAATCTCAGCTCACTGCAGCTTCTGCCTCCTGGGTTCAAGCGATTCTCTTGCCACAGCCTTCCGAGTAGCTGTGATAACAGGCATGAGCCACTATGCCTGGTTAATTTTCATATTTTTAGTAGAAATGTGGTTTTGCCATGTTAGTCAGGCTGGACTCAAACTCCTGACTTCAGGTGATCCACCTGCCTCGGCCTCCCAAAGTGCTGGAATTATGGGCATGAGCCACCGTGCCTGGGCCGGGTTCTCTATTCTGTCCCATTGGTGTACTTGCCTCATATGATACCAGAAACACAGCATCTTCATTCTAGCAGCAGGGAAGTCTCAGGGTAATTGGGATGTTTCCTTGATGCCTTCATGGAAAAAAATGAGTATCTGCGAGTCCATGTGTAGGTCTATTTCTGGATTCTCTTACTCCACCGATCTATACGTCTATGTTTACTCCAAAAGTATACTATCTTGATTACTGTGGCCTTATAATAAGCCTTAGATATCCAGTAGCATAAGTTCTCCAACTTTGTTCTTCTTTCTGAATGTTGTTTTGGATATTTTAAGTCCTTTGCATTTCCATACAGCTTTTAAAATCAGCTTATCAATTTCCTGAGATTTTGTTTGGGGTTGCCGTGAAGTTATAGATCCATTTTGGGAAAATTGACATCATAACAATATTGATCCATGAGTGAGATCTGTTTCTCCAGTTTAAAAAGTATTGTTTTGATTTAGCAATATTTTGTCATTTTTTGTTTCTGGCCTGCTTCAGCTTCTTGAGTAGCTGGGACTATAGGAATGTGCCACCATGCTTGGTTAATTTTTTTTTTTAAGTTTTTCGTGCACATGGGGTCTCCCTATGTTGCCTAGGCTGGTCTTGGACTCCTGAGCCAAAGCAATCCTCCCACCTTGGCCTCCCAAAGTGCTGGAATTATAGGCATGAGCCACTGCACTTAGCCTTCCAAAACACATCTTTAAATGATCACAGTCTACTTTCAAATTTTATTATACCAGTTCATTTTTAATGAAAGAATCTTATAAGAGTGTTATTCCATTCCTCTCTCTTGACCTTTGTGCTACTTTTGTAAAACACTTTTCTACTTATCAATTTTGTGTAGAGCAGTCAGCTGTCTTTTTTAGTGATTTTAAAGTGAAAAAAAATGTTTAGTAAGAACTTCTGAGTTTGTGGGGGGGAAAAACAAAATGATAAAAAATAATCTTTTATATATATTTACATGATTACCTTTGTTAAAGTAGATCCAGATTTTCATCTGACATTATTTTTATTCTGCCTGAAGAAGTTCCTTTAATATTTATTTTAGTGCAAGTCTGCTGGCATTGAATTCTCGTGGGTTTTATGTGTCTAAAAAGTCTTTAACTTCCACTTTTGAAAGATATTGTCACAGGATATGGAATGCCAGGGTGACAGTTGTTCCCTCCCTTCCTACCCCCTAGTATTGTTCTCTGGCTTGCCCTATTTCTCCCCTTCCTTCCCTCCTTCCCTCTCTCCTTCCCTTCCCTCCCTCCTTCCCTCCCTCCCTCTCTCCTTCCCTCTCTCCTTCCCTCTCTCCTTCCCTCTCTCCTTCCCTCCTTCCCTTCCTTCCCTCTCTCCTTCCATCCCTTCCCTTCCTTCCCTCTCTCCTTCCCTTCCTTCCCTCCCTCCCTCCCTCTCTCCTTCCCTCCCTCCCTCCCCCCTTCCCTCCCTCTCCCCTTCCCTCCCTCTCCCCTTCCCTTTCCTCCCCTCCCCTTCCCTCCCCTCCATCTGTCCATCCATCCGTCCATCTCATCCTGTCTCCCAGCTTCAGTGCAGTGGCACAATCACGGCTCACTGTAGCCTCAACCTCCCAGGCTCAAGCAATCCTCCTGCCTCAGCCTCCCAAGTAGCTGGGACTACAGATGTGCACCACCACACTCAGCTGATATTTTTAATTTTTTTTATAGAGATAAGGTCTCACTTCATTGCCCAGGCTGTCTCAAACTCCTGGGCTCAAGCACCTTCAGCCTCGGCCTCCCAAAGTGCTGGGATTACAGGCATGAGCCACCGCACCTGGCAGGCTTGAACAATTTCTAATAAGAAATGTGCTGTCATGGCCTGGGCACAGTGGTTCATGTCTGTAATCTTAGCACTTTGGGAGGCCAGGGTGGGCAGATCACTTGAGGTCAGGAGTTTGAGACCAGCCTGGCCAACATGGTGAAACCCCGTCTCTACTAAAAATACAAAAATTACCCGGGTGTGGTGGCATGTGCCTGTATTCCCAGCTACTTGGGAGGGTGAGGCAGGAGAATCACTTGAATCTGGAAGGCAGAGGTTGTAGTGAGCCAAGATGGCACCACTACAATCCAGCCTGAGAAAGAGTGCAAGACTCCTTCTCAAAAAAATAAATAAATAAATAAGAAATGTTTTGCCATTACCTTTGTATCTATGTCTCTCTTCTGTGGCTGCTTTTTAACATCATCTTTTTATCAAGTGTTTTTAGCAATTTGATGGACAAGCCTTGGTGTGGTTTTCATTGTTTATTCTGTTTGAGTTTCCTTGAACTTCTTGGATCTACGACTTTGTAAGTTTCAAATTTTGACATATTCAGCCACTATTTTTTTTCAAATGTTTTTCTGTTTCCCTCTTCTCTTCTCTCCTTCTGGGACTCCAATTACACCTATGTTAGATCGATTTATAGTGTACCACAGTGTACTCATCAGCTGTGCATTTATTTTGTCATGTTCTTTCTACACTTAATTTTCTTTTTTTTTATTTTGAAGACAGAGTCTCAGTCTGTCGTCCAGGCTGGAGTGCAGTGGTATGATCTTGACTCACTGCAACCTCTGCCTCCCAGGCTCAAGTGATTTTCCTGCTTCCGCCTCCCAACTAACTGGGACTACAGGTGCATGCCACCACGCCCAGCCAATTTTTGTATTTTTAGTAGAGATGGGGTTTCACCCTGTTGGCCAGGTTGGTCTTGAACTCCTGACTTCAAGTGATCGGCCCACCTCGGCCTGCCAAAGTGCTGGGATTACAGGTGTGAGCCACTATGCCTGGCCAACATGCTTAATTGTGGATAGTTTCTTTTTCTATGTTTAAGTTCACTGATCTTTTTCTTCTTGGTATCTAGTCTGCTGTTAATCCCATCTGGTGTTTTTAAAAATTTTTCAGATATTTTACATCTCTACGAGTTCCATTTGGGTCTTTTAAAAATCTTTAGTTTCTGTTCTTATCATGTTCATGTTTTCATTCACATTAGTGAGCACATTTGTATTTAATAACCGTTTAAGGTCCTTGTCTGCTGACTCCATCTTTTGTTATTTCTCTTCTGTTTCTTACGTTTGATGCTCTCCCTGGAGTTGTTATGGGTCATACCTTCCAGCTTTTTGGCATGTCTGGTGAGTTTTGATTAGAAGTTAGACATTGTGAGTTTTACATTGTTGGGTCCTGGATTTTGTTGTATTCCTGTACAGTGTGTTAGACTTTGCTCTAGCAAGCAAGCCAATAAGTTATTTGGGATCAGCTTGATGTTTGATTCTGGAGATGCTTAGATTGTGTATTTATTCATTAGGAGATGACTTGTCATTGTTTCTGTTAGGCATCCTGAAGTGCTACTAGCCCAGGGTCATTTCAAGTTATTTTTCTGCTTCACTTTCTATAAATTTGAAGTTTATTTATGTTACCTGCACTCCAGTCTACCAAGATAACATAAATAAACTTCAAATTTGCATAAATACAAGGCTTTGTTTAAAAAAATCTAAGGGCAGACTTTTTCCCCCATCCAGAGCCAAGGCAAAATCAGAAAGTTCTTCTTTTCTCCTTTGCCATTTGGAGAATAAATACTTTATTTGTAGTCTACTTTTTCACAGAGGGTCTAGAATTTAGGGTTTCTTAGCTTTGTGTAAAGGACTCAGTTCTAACTCTCAAATTTAATGCATTCCAGTGCCTTATCTCCTGACCCTCTAGGTCACCCTTGAAACCTGATGTTTTATTTTCCTGATATAGGTAACGGTTGTTGGGGTAAGCATTTCATCAGCACATGATCATCAATGGAATTTTCAGTTCCTTTGTTTTTTTTTTTCTTTTTCTTCTAGGTGTTCCCTTTATCTTATTGTGAGCAGATTCTTAGTCTGCTATATTTTATCTTCTTGCTTTTATTATCAGCAAATTCTAAAACTTTTACCTTGCTGGACTTAACTGTTATCATTCATTTCTTTGAAATTTTTTCCATCAGGTAAATATGAGCCCTTTTATAACATCACAATATCTCATTCACTGTCTGTGCGTGTTCACTTGTGTTTCTCCATCTCCAGTGCACTCCTTAAGGCTTCCTGGAAGAGAAAGCAGAGTTGAAGAACCTCTTGAAAATGACATCTCCCAGTTAGTTGATGAAGTTGTTTGTGCTCTGCAGCCAGTCATCCAGGATAAACCATTTGCATTTTTTGGCCACAGGTATTTGATATCTGTTTTAAAAGACTTCAGGGGAGTTTCTTCTATCTGAAGTTTGAGGTTAATGTTATTCTTTGTGTTTTGTAAGATGCATACCTTTGTATTGGTTAGACAGCATGTTAGGTAATTATGGCCATCACAACTTTTACAATTCACCAGTTTGTATGGTAAGTATACCTATTTTTTTTCCTTTTAGGCAAATAAAGTCAACACTTGTAAAACCAAGACTTTAACAGCAGCTTACATTCTATTTATTTTTGAAATAAGAAATTATGCAAAGAGTATATGTTTCTTAAGCTACGTTGTATAATTCTGAGGTTAAGTCAGAGACCCTGGGGTTCTGGCTATCTCTTATCAGTTGTATGACCTTGGGAAAATTTCTTAGGCTTCTGAGTTAGTTCCTTTTTCTATAAGGGTACAATAACAATAGTTCCCATTTGTGAGGCTTAAATGAATAGTGATCTTAAATAAATTGGTATATAGTAAGGAATCAATAAATTTTGGCTATTATATAAGATTTACAAATATGGTCAAGCAGAAATTGAAAAATAAAAAGTATCCATCATCCTACTACCCAGATAACAATGCTTTAAAATTCTGATGTAGTTCCTTAGTATTTTTACACAATGGGGTCTGGTTTTATATATTTACTTGATCTTTTTCACTTAAAAGCAATGTACACTCACAGGATGTGAAAGATGTTTATTGCTATAATATTTATATTATAGTAATATTAAATTAAATATATTTATATTATTGCCATAAATATCTTTCACATCCTGTAAGTATACATTGCTTCATGATTTGTTTGATTAACCTCCTTTTGTGGATATGAGCTATTTCTATCTTTTTCTGTTATAAACAATAGTCCAGTGAACATTCTTTTTTTTTTTTTTTGAGACAGAGTCTCACTGTGTCACCCACGCTGGAGTGCAGTGGCACGATCTCAGCTCATTGCAACCTACACCTCATGGGTTCAAGCAATCCTCCCACCTTAGCCTCTCAAATAGCTGGAATTACAGGCACACACGACCATACCTGGCTAATTTTTATATTTTTAATGGAGTTGGGGTTTCACCATGTTGGCCAGACTGGTCTCAAACTGCTGACCTCGAGTGATCCACTTGCCTTGGCCTGCTAAAGTGCTGGGATTACAGGTGTGAGCTGTGGCACCCAGCCCAATGAACATTCTTATAGAAAATTTAGTATAAATCTCCTATCAGTTTTTTAGGATAAATTCTCAGAATTTATGTTAAACAATATGCACATTGTTAAAGTTCTTTTCAAGACAGGGTCTTGCTCTGTCACCCAGGCTGCAGGGCAGTGGTGCAATCATGGCTCACTGCAACCTCTGTCTGCCAGGCTCAAGTGATTCTTCCACCTCAGCCTCCCAAGTAGCTGACTACAGGAGCATGCCACCACACCCTGCTAATTTCTTGTCACTGATGTTTTATAGAGATGGAGTTTCGCCATGTTGCCCAGGCTGGTCTCCAACTCCTGGGCCCAAGTGATCCACCCACCTCCGCCTCTCAAAATGTTGGGATCACAGATACGAGGCACTGCATCCAGCCTGTAGAAGTTGTTGCTATATATTTCCAAATTACCTGCACTTTACACTCCATGCGCAATGAACATGGTGCTGAGTTTCCCTTTCTTTCAGAAAATATATACATGTGCAATTTACAAATAAGCAACCTCTGGCAGTTTTGTCAACCAAATGTATTTACATAATATCAACATTTTCAATCCCAGTACCCCTTTATACTTTTAAGATGCATTGAGGAACTCAAAGAGCTTTTGTTTATATGTGATATATCTGGCGATATTTATCATACTGAAAGGAAAAACTAAGAAATTTTAAAGACGTTTATTAACTTACCTAAAAATAACATTAACAAACCTATTATACATTGACATAAACAATATATTTTAATGAAAAAGACTATATTTTCCAAAAAAATGTGAGAAGGTGAGAAGAGTGGCATCATTTGATACTTTTGCAAATCTGCTTAATGTCTGACATAATAGAAGGCAGATGGATTCTCATTTCTGTCTCTGCATTCAAATTGTTGCTGTATCACATGTCATATAGCTTCTGGAAAACTCCACTGTGTATTCATTAGAGTAAAAAAGGCAAATAACATTTTAGTATTTATCCTGAAAATAGCTTTGACCTCATGGACCATCCATTAGGATCTCAGAAATTTCCAGGGGTCCCTAAACCGTATTTTGAGAACTGCGGATATATACTGTTAAAGACACAGTGATACACACCTTTAAGGAAGAAAAGGAAATTTAAATTAATTTGAAGACACTGTGCAAATCAGTACTAAATCTTAGAGTGAATTATCTAGGCTGTCTTTGAAACAGTTTTTATGCTGATTTAAATCACTGAAAAGATAGACTTCTTAATCAACTCACACTTTCCTTTCATCTATTACATGATCATTGTTGTGTTTATGATACTGTTCCTTTTGACTTTCGGTGGATCATCACGAGTTTTGCTTAACAGTTCTTGTCATGTTTTTCTTTGCTGAATTTAGTATGGGATCCTACATTGCTTTTAGGACTGCACTAGGTCTAAAAGAAAACAATCAACCAGAACCATTGCATTTATTTTTGTCAAGTGCAACTCCTGTACATGTAAGTAATTTAGCTTTTTCCTAGGAAGGGCAGTGGAGAGCAGGGAAATGGGGATAAAAATAAGCCATTATTTCTCTATCTGGTGAATTCTGGTCCAGTATGATGATGATGGTGGGGATACTAATAGGTTGGTGCAAAAGCCATTGAGGTTTTTGCCACTACTTTCTTTTTCCGAGATGGAGTCTCATTCTGCTGCCCAGGCTAGAGTGCAGTGGCACGATCTTGTCTCACTGCAACCTCTGCTTACTGGGTTCAAGAGATTCTCCTGTCTCAGCCTCCTGAGTAGCTGGGACTACAGGCGAGCACCACCACAGCCAGCTAATTTTGTATTTTTAGTAGAGATGGGGTTTCACCATGTTGGCCAGGCTGGTCTTGAACTCCTGACCTCAGGTGATCCACCCACCTCAGCCTCCCAAAGTGCTGGGATTACAGGTGTGAGCCAGCACACCCAGCCTGCCATTACTTGCAACGGCAAAAACCACAATTGATTTTGCACCAACCTAATACTTGCTGTTGAAAAGTCCCTTAAATCTCTTTCAATATCATTCTCTGTTTCCCTGAAATGCACTTCAGCTGTTTCCTACTGGTACTATTCCTGGCGTCTCTGAGCTAATGCTGACCATAGTGCTTTTTCCTTCATTGTGGGTCAGCTGGGAACTTAACCAACTTTGAGCAAAGTAACTGGATCAGAACCAGGAAAGACTCCTTGAAATGTTAAAAGGGGACAGTGATGTCAAGTTCTTAGGACTACCATGGCTTTTTAAACCTGGTGCTGTTGCTCCTGCTGCTCTTCCTCCTACCTCTTTGGTCTTTCCCACTTCATCTGGAGAAAGATCCTGCCTGTCCCAGGATTCTAAATCTACAAAGCCATTTTGGTGGCATTATGATGCTGTAGTTATTACTGATGAGCCTTCTTCTCCCTACTTTCAAAACGACATAGTTCTTTCCTGAAGCCTATAGATAAAGCAGTCTACTTCCCAGCCTTGGTTTAATGACTTTTCCCTTAGATCAACAGTTTTCAGTTTATGAGCCAAGTGTGTTATATGAAATATCAGGCCTGTGTTGTTGTTCATGTTTCAAGTCAAAGGCCTGGCATCGCATTCCCAAAGATGATGAATTGTCAGAAGAACAAATAAGTCATTACCTTATGGAATTTGGAGGCACCCCCAAGCATTTTGCTGAAGCCAAGGAATTTGTGAAACAATGTAGTCCCATCATAAGGGCAGATCTGAACATTGTTAGAAGTTGCACGTAAGTAACAGAAACAAGGTTTTTTCTTTTTTTGGTACAATTATTTGTAGAAAAACATAGATTGGCAGTGCTCTGAGGTTGCTTATGTGGGAAGACAAAATTCTAAGAGTTTGGTTTCATTTCCTTTGGGGCCACCTATGGTATGTATACTGGTTTAGAATGGAGCCTAGGCACAGAAATTGTATCTGTAAAAGATGTCTAGCATGGCCAGGCACAGTGACTCATGCCTATAATTCCAGCACTTTGGGAGACCAAGGCCAGTGGATCATTTAAGGCCAGGAGTTCAAGACAAGGCTGGCCAACATGGCAAAACCCCATCTCTACCAAAAATACAAAAATAAGCCAGATGTGATGGTGCACACCTGTAATCCCAGCTACTTGGGAGGCTGAGGCAGGAGAATCACTTGAAGTCAGGAGGCGGAGGTTGCAGTGAGCTAACATCATACCACTGCCCTCCAGCCTGGCCAACAGAGTGAGACTCCATCTCAAAAAAAAAAAAAAAAAGTCTAGCATGTATTTTTCTTTAAAAAATATATGATTAGACATGTATATTTTATCTCATAATAACATAGTAAATATCTGTTGAATAAATTAATGCCAAAGCATTTTCATCTTCTTAGAAGGGTCAGCAGAAATAGATTGTTACTTATTGTAAGTGTGGAGGCAAACCAGTGTGGAGAAATTTGCTAGGTTTGCTTTTTTGTACATTTTGTTCCAGAACTCATTAAGTTCTATGAATATCTCTCCATTCCCTTGTCTCATGGGATGTCTGTATAGACACTTGATTCTTCTGATAGAACTGAAGTCCTGATACTCTGTAAATCCTTCCCCAATAATCTTTCCTATTTTTATTTTATTTATTTATTTATTTATTTATTTATTTATTTATTTATTTATTTATTTTTGAGATGGAGTCTCACTTTGTCGCCCAGGCTGGAGTGCAGTGGTGTGATCTTGGCTCACTGCAACCTCCGTCTTCCAGGTTCAAGCGATTCTCCTGCCTCAGCCTCCCGAGTAGCTGGGATTACAGGCACCCGCCACCACACCCAGCTACTTTTGCATTTTTAGTAGAGACGGGTTTTCACCTTGTTGGCCAGGCTGGTCTCAAACTCCTGACCTGAGGTGATCCACCCACCTCAGCCTCCCAAAGTATTGGGATTATAGGCGTGAGCCACTGTGCTCAGCAAGGACTAAGTTTTTGAGATCTACTGCACAGCACTGTGACTACACATGTGTATTTCAAAATTGCTAAGAAAGTAGATTTTACCTGTGCACATCATTTTAAAAAGTTAAGTATATGAGGTGATGGATATGTTAATTCGCTTGACTTAATCTTTCCATAATGTATACTTATATCAAAATATCACAGTGTACCTCACCAATTTATACAATTGTTATTTGCGAATTTAAAACAAAATTGAAAAAACTGAGAAGTAATCCAAATCACCATGGACATTCAATGCAATCATGGATGCAAAAGCTGGCTTTTAATAATTAAGCCTTGCACAATGGTGAAACATGCCATCTTTAGAGTCCGCTTAGCAGACTGAAACCCTGTGTCTTACTCACTGCGAGATTCTGAGCAAGTTTCTTTAACGGTCTGTGTCTCATCTCATCAAAGAAGGGATAAGAATAGCACCTTTCAAGGTGTTGTGTGAGAATTAACTGCTTGGTAGAGGGGAGCGTCTGGCACACAACAAACCATGAGCTATTTTTAAAAAACAAAACACAACCAAAAAACTCACAACCAATGAGTTTTTTCACTCCAAAGAAACCTCCAAAACACCAGAAGTAACACATTAACATAAATCATTCATGGGGATATTCTACTCACAGAATGTAGAAAATGTTGACATTCTCACCCTTTCTCCAGTGAGCCAAATTGCAGTAGTTACTCACAAATTTTAACGTCCTCTCTCCAAATTTCAAAAACTCTTCCAAATCCTGCCCTCCTGCACCTTCTCCTTTTCAATCTGATCTCTCCCACGTCCTCGTTATCTCCCTGCTTTTTCCAATACAAATGAAATCAGGCCTACAGAGTTTTTTCCAGTTCTCTTTCCCCATCACTACCACTAAAGCTCAGAGCTACTGGCCAAAATGGAAATTGTCAGCCGAGAAGTGCCAGAAGCTGTGACTACTTCAGCTCATATAATCTGTCCTCCTCTCTTGCTTCGGACTATTGTTACTGTTCCTCCTCTGGGATCCTGATGCCACATACACTAGGGTGTTTCATAATTGATATCATCCCAAATCTCTTGCAAGTTCTGTTTTGTTTCTTTTTTTAAAGTTTCCTTTGTGTTTCAGTGTGAATAATTTCCTCTGACTGTCTTCAAGGCCGCTGACTTTCTTCAGCTGTATCAAGTCTACTGATGAGCCTGTCAAAGAACTTCTTCATTTCTGTTATTTCTAGAAATCCCATTTGACTCTCTTCTGGTTTTTACCTTTCTAATGAAATTCCCCATGTGTTCATGAATGTTAGCCACCTTTTCCACTAAATCTGTTGATAAATTAATCCTATGTATTTTAAAGTCCCTGTTTGAGAGTTCCAACATCTGGGTCTTATCTGTGTCTGATTCTTTTGACTGCTTTGCCTCTTAACAATGGGTTATTTCTTGCTTTCTTGTGTGTCTGATAATCATTATTACTATTATTATTTGAGATGGAGCTTTGCTCTTATTGCCCAGGCTCGAGTGCAATGGCGCGATCTCAGCTCACTGCAACCTCCGTCTCCTGGGTTCAAGCAATTCTCCTGCCTCAGCCTCCCGAGTAGCTGGGATTACAGACACGTGCCCCCACACCCAGCTAATTTTTTTGTATTTTTAGTAGAGACGGGGTTTCATCATGTTGGCCAGCCTGGTCTCGAACTCCTGACCTCAGGTGATCCACCCCACCTCGGCCTCCCAAAGTGCTGGCATTACAGGCATGAGCCACCGTGCCCAGTGATAATTTTATAAAATCAAAAGCCAGTTATCATGCATAAAAACAGTAGAGACTGAAGGTAATGTTTTACACCTGAATTTGAACACGTCTCTGCTTTTTGACAGGCCGTTAGTGTGGGGAATTGAGTTAGTCTAGACTGGGCTTGAGCTGGGTAGGGTTTTGTTGTTGCTGTGATGACCTTGAGTGCACCACCAGCTCTCAAATCCTCTGGTATATAATCCTCTGCTATGTGTCTGGTGTGGGATGCAGTTGTTCCAGACCTTTTCTCAGCAGTCCTGCCCTACCCTTGGCGTTCAATGTTCCCTGTGACTCATAGAACAGCCTCTCTTCCTCCTGTTGCCCTCCCCAATGTAGACAGCTGTTGCTTGTTACTCAATGTATGTTAGCCTGTGGGTAACACAGGGAGTTCCTGGACATCTAGATAGTCTGAAGCATGAATTCTAGGTAGCGTCCCCGTGCCTGGGTTCTGTGAGTGGGGCTTTCTCAGCATGCCTGCTCCTTCTCTCTTGCAAACACATTTTTGCCTTCTATCTGTGGTTGCCTTGGTGGAAGATTCCTGCCCCTTCCTGCAAGCAGCAGAACTCTGCTTGGTTTTGGTGTAGAATTGTTTCTCATCCCTTCCTCAGGGGTAGAGGGCTTATGCTTTTATCCTCCCTGCAGCAGCCACAGGGCTTCACCTGCACCCTGGTGGCGAGAGGGTTTCATGCCCCTCTTCCAGCAGCTTAAGGCTTCTGCTTACAATGAGAGCAGACCTGGTCAGGTGGCAGTCTAGTGCCAGTCCAATTGCCACAGCTAACTAACTGCCCTGTGGAGGTGTCTCTCTAGCCTCTCGCCTCACTCCTAATTGTTCTCGTCAACCCCTAGTGGAGGCCCATGGAAAAGAGGCTGCATGGCTGGGCACGGTGGCTCATGCCTGGAATCCCAGCACCTTCAGAGGCCAAGGCGGGCGGATCACTTGAGGTCAGGAGTTCGAGACCAGCCTGGCCAACATGGCGAAACCCCATCTCTACTAAAAATACAAAAATAGCTGGATGTGGTGGCAGACACCTGTAATCCTAGCTACTCGACAGGCTGAGGCAGGAGAATCACTTGAACCCAGGAGACAGAGGTTGCAATGAGCTGAAATCACGCCATTGCACTCAAGCCCGGGCAATAGAGCGAGACTCCATCTAAAAAAACAAAAAAAGACAAAAGAGGCTGTGAGTCAGTGGGAACTCCATCTAACACACCGTTCTCACTGTGTCTCCAACACTTTAAAATTTCGGCTGATTTGAGTCTTATCGCATGTACAGCAGATACCTCTTCCGCCTGGACATTGTGCCATCTGACCCTGTCTACTGGCCCCATCTCTCTGTAGTGGGAGTCTGTCTTCCTTGGAATTTGATTTCTAACTTGCCTTGCAAACACAGCTCTCTGTTGAGTTCACGACAAGTCATGATGCTGCAGTTTCTCTGTTTTTTTTTTTTTTCCTCTCATTGTTAGGATGGAGTGTGGGGTGCTGCTGCTTTTTTACATTCCAGGCAGGAGCAAATCCTTGCTGGGATTACTGCAAGTCCCACTCACTTGGGCCTATCACATACACTTGGTCCCCCTCCGATCCGTTATCCACACTCTATCCAGAGGATAGAAGTCCAGTTTGATCATGGTGTACCTTGTTTGATCTTTTTGGTGACTTCCTTTCACTCTTAGGACAACCAACTAGACTTATACCTGCATACCTCTTATACCTTAATTTGTCCCAATACTCCACTTTGTTCTCTGAACAATAGCCTTTTTTGTTGTTGTTGTTTTGTTTTGCTTTGTTCTTTGAGATGGAGTTTCGCTCTTGTTGACCAGGCTGGAGTGCAGTGGTGTGATCTTGGCTCACCGCAACCTCTGCCTTCCAGGTTCAAGGGATTCTCCTGCCTCTGCCTCCCAAGTAGCTCATTACGGGCATGCACCACCATGTCCTGCTAGTTTTGTATTTTTAGTAGAGACGGGGTTTCCCGTGTTGGTCAGGCTGGTCTTGAACTCCCAACCTCAGGTGATCCACCCACCTCGGCCCCCCAAAGTGCTGGGATTACAGGCGTAAGCCACCACGCCTGAACTTTTTTTTTTTTTTTTTTTTTTTGAGACAGGATCTTACTCTGTTGCTCAGGCTGGAGTGCAATGGTGCAATCACAGCTCACTGCAGCCTTGACCTCCTGGGCTCAAGTGATCCTCCCACCTCAGCCTCCCGAGTAGCTGGAACTACAAGTACATGACACCACACCTGGCTAATTTTTTTATGTAGTAGAAATGGGGTCTTGCTATGTTGCCCAGGCTGGTCTCAAACTCCTGGCCTTAAGTGATCCTCCTGCCTTGGCCTCCCAAAGTGCTGGTATTATGGTGTGAACCATCACACCTGACCTAGCCATTAATTTGTTGTCTTTCTCTTCCCTCTCTCCCTGCTGGCTCTATGCCCTTTGACTGGTTCTTCTCTATTCATTCAGGCTTCAGATCCTCTCCCCTTTCCCAGGAGACTTGCCTTGACCCTGTCCCCACCTCCTCCCTCCTGCCAACAGTTCTCCATCCCCCTGGACTTGATAGCACCTTCCATCTCTCTCTAGTTGAATGATTGTTTCTGTAATGTCTCTCTCCCAGCCAGTCTCTCAGCTGCAAGAGGGCAGGGACTGTGTTTGTTTCTCCACGTGCCCCTAGTGTCTAGTGCAGCACTGAGCCTCTGACTCAATAAACACGTTTGCTGCTGTTGTGAGGTTCTGTGCAGAGCAACCCTCTGCTGGGCCAAGGAGAGCTAAGAGTTACTAAAGAGGTCTTCGTTTCTGATGACAGTTTAAAGGACTGGTTCCACCAGCCTTACCTTGAGTTGAACTGTGTGCCCCAGTGCCATCCTGCTGCCACGTGTCACATCCTAGAAGTTAGATATTGGAAATTAGTCTCCACACTGAGTCTCAGGCAGGCTTTGACAGGTAGAAGTGCCATTGGTGAAAAATGTTTTACACTGCTAGAGTAGCCAAAGAAAAGAAGTGAACCCACCCCAAGTTTCATTGACATTAGGAACAGGAAAAGATTCTGGGATGTTGATTTCAAACAATTACTAACCAGCTCTTTTATGTTTATAGCTCTAACGTACCATCTAAGGCTGTTCTTTCCTGTGACTTGACATGTTTTGTTGGATCTGAAGACATAGCAAAGGACATGGAAGGTGAAATTATTTTTAGTCTCGAGTATTGTATTGAAATATATGTTTGATGGCTTTAAAATTTTTTTTTTTCTTTTGAGACAGAGTCTCGCCCTGTCACCCAGGCTGGAGTGCAATGGCGCAATCTCAGCTCATTGCAACCTCCGCCTCCCAGGTTCAAACGATTCTCCTGCCTCAGCCTCCTGAGTAGCTGGGATTACAGGTGCCGGCCACCATACCCGGCTATTTTTTGTATTTTTAGTAGAGATGGGGTTTCACCATGTTGGCCAGGCTGGCCTCGAACTCCTGACCTCATGATCTGCCTGCCTCGGCCTCCCAAAGTGCTGGGATTATAGGCATGAGCCACCATGCCTGGCCAGCTTTTAAAATTTTTTTTTTTAATTTTTATGGGTACATAGTAGGTGTATATATTTACGTTCGATGATTTTTGACCAATGTCAACTAGTAGTTACTGCAATGAGTAAAAAATTAGTTGAAGTTGTATTTAGTGTAAAAGGAGAGATGTTGGTCTTGTGTAAAATGAGAGAACTGCTGTATACTGATAGGTCTCAAAGAAATAAAAAATGCAGGACACCTAGTGTAAGAGTTAAAGAAAGAGGAAAGACAAACAAAATGCAGCTTAACAGTCAAAGACAGGTTTTCTTTAGATAAAACCTGAGAGGGGCTCCTGGCAGACTTCCATCAGGAGCACTTTCTCTTACAGATGAAGAGTATATATTGGTTTTAGGGTGAGGGGCTTATTACAAGCTTGGAATGTTTCTGTGTGAGCGAGAAGTTTTATGGTAGGGTTGGAATGTCTCTGGGAGGAGGGGAGGCTTTCTTGGGGCAGACATCTTTCTGGCGGCCGGAAGCAAGGTTATCTCGAGGCCGTCATCTTCCTGGCCAGAGGGGGGTTATCTTGGGGCTAACATGTCTCTGGTCAGGGAGGAGTTTGGAACGTTTCTGGTTGGAGATGTTATCTATGGTTTATGGTTATGGTGACCTTAGCCATTAGGCTGATGATGCCTTTTGGATTTAGGTGGTTTTTGATTAAGGTAAACTTTAGAATGAGGGGCTTGTCCAAGATGGCAATGCTCCTGCTTCATCACCTAGAACATAAGGCCTTGAAAGTAACCGTACTTCAGGGTGTCAGCTCTTAAAGAAATGATGTCTTGATGTGAATCTTTAGTTGCTGTTGGTGTTGTTATTGAATACAATCTTGTTTATTTTCAGCCTGGAAAGATGTAACCAGTGGAAATGCTAAAATTTACCAGCTTCCAGGGGGTCACTTTTATCTTCTGGATCCTGCGAACGAGAAATTAATCAAGAACTACATAATCAAGTGTCTAGAAGTATCATCGATATCCAATTTTTAGATATTTTCCCTTTCACTTTTAAAATAATCAAAGTAATATCATACTCTTCTCAGTTATTCAGATATAGCTCAGTTTTATTCAGATTGGAAATTACACATTTTCTACTGTCAGGGAGATTCGTTACATAAATATATTTACGTATCTGGGGACAAAGGTCAAGCCAGTAAAGAATACTTCTGGCAGCACTTTGGGAGGCCAAGGCGGGCGGATCACGAGGTCAGGAGATCGAGACCGTCCTGGCTAACACCGTGAAACCCCATCTCTACTAAAAATACACAAAATTAGCCGGGCGTGGTGGTGGGCACCTGTAGTCCCAGCTACTCGGGAGGCTGAGGCAGGAGAATGGTGTGAACCTGGGAGGTGGAGCTTGCAGTGAACCGAGATCGCTCCACTGCACTCCAGCCTGGGTGACAGATCCAGACTCTGTCTCAAAAAAAAAAAAAAAAAAAATACTTCTGGCAGAGTCTTTTATCTTCCTATTAAAATCTCACTTGATTCTCCTTTATGGGAAGTTTGTCGACAAAATTCATGATTAGTAAATTATCCATTTTTTCCTTCAGTTAGTTTAATGGTGAAGATGATTAACAGGGGAAATGCTTGAAGTAAATGATTGTTTCAATGGCATACCGTGTCTCAAAGCTTGATCTCATTTTTTCAAATGTAGAATAGCCCCACATAGTAAGAAAATGTAACCTACTGCTTTGTTAAAAGAGATCCCAAAATAATTATTGTCACCTGTGCAGGCAAGTCGTCAGAATGCCTATACCCCACCCCTCTAAGGAGTTTATTCTACACCACTTACTGGGGGGCTCTGCCACCCTGGCATGTCTGGCTGGGACCTGGATCGTCCCCCCAGTGGACAACCAATCTAGAGTGTTGCCTGTGACAAAGGGAGTGGCCAAGCACAAATCTCACACCTAAGAGGCTGCCTCAGCCTCACTCAGCAATAACTTGAACTTGACTTAGGGAGAAAGCACAACAGCTGGAAGTAAACAGGAACCAAGAGAAAAAGAAAAGCAGAAATAGGAGCCAGGCTCAGTGGCTCAACACCAGTAATTCCAGCACTTTGGGAGGCTGAGTAGCAGGATCATTTCAGGTCAGGAGTTTGGGAGACCCCTGTCTCTACAAAAGATTTTAAAAATCAACCAGGCATGGTGGCGTGCACCTGTAGTCCCAGCTACTTGGAAGGCTGAGGCTGAAAGATCGCTTGAGCCCAGGAGGTCAAGGTTGCAGTGAGCTAGGATCATGTCATTGCATTCCAGCCTGAGTGACAGAGTGAGACCCTATCTCAAAAATAAAAAGTACATAAGGTCTTAGTAAATAAGATTAAGGAAAATGCATACAGGTGGTATTTTCCTAAATTTATCACTCTTTTTAAACAAAGTACAAAAAATATAAAATTAACTATTTGGGGGAGGCACTTTGAGTTTAGGCTACAAATAGTCTTAAGCAAATTATGTTGTAGTATGTGTTGTACTTTATCCTTTAATTTGATACTATTTCCAGGGTTCCCTTACTGAAAGATTGGTATAAAAGTAATTGGGAGGCCGGGCATGGTGGCTCACGCCTGTAATCCCAGCATTTTGGGAGGTTGAGACGGGCGGATCAGCTGAGGTCAGGAGTTCAAGACCAGCCTGGCCAACATGGCGAAACCCCACCTCTACTAAAAATACAAAAAAATTAGCCAGGCGTGGTGGCGGACGCCTGTAATCCCAGCTACTAGGGAAGCTGAGGCAAGAGAATCACTTGAACCCGGGAGGTGGAGGTTGCAGTGAGCCAAGACCATGCCACTGCACTCCAGTCTTGGCGACAGAATGAGACTCTGTCTCAAAAATAATAATAATAATTAGGATTCGTGATTATTAATTTGAAAAATGTTTAGTCAGTATAGTCTGCAAACTGAAGTTTCATGATGGAACAAATGCCAGGCTTTGGGGGTAAGCTTTTTCCCCTGCATCTCTACCTGGTGGAGGTAAAGTCCACATGGGAACAACTTTCAGGAGTTTTCAAGCCCTCAACTGTAAGACACCAAGTCTATCATTGATGATGTCTTCTCTTTGAAGGAATTAGGCCTTGGTATCATCGTGGAAGACGTCTATCATTAGGCGAAATTTAGAAAGATGAGAATTATCTTGATTGCCAAAATTTTCCCGATGAGAAATCAACCTCGATTTTTAAAAGTAAACTTTTTGAGGTAACTGCAGATTCCCTTTTATTTGTAAGAAATAATACAGAGAGATTTGTGTAGCCTTTTACCCAATTTCCTTTAATGGTAACTGTTATGCAAAACTATAGTATAATATCACAATCAGCATATTGGTGTTGCTACAATCAAGACAGAACATTCCATCACTGCAGGATCATCCCTCCTGCTGCCCTTTTAAAGCCACACCCACCTCCCTCCTCCCTGGCAACCACTATTCCATCCTTTGCGTCTATAAATGTTCCCTTTCAAGAATCCTGGCTGGACGCGGTGGCTCATGCCTATAGTCTCAGCACTTTGGGGGGCCAAGGTGGGTAGATCACCTCAGATCAGGAGTTCCAGACCAGCCTGGGCAACATGGTGAAACCCTGTCTCTATGAAAAATACAAAAATTAGCTGGGCATGGTTGCACGCACCTGTAGTCCCAGCTACTCTGGAGGCTGAGATGGGAGGATTGCTTGACCCTGGGAGGCAGAGGTTGCAGTGAGCCGAGAGCGTGCCACTGCGCTCCAGCCTGGGTAACAGAGTGACAGCCTGTCTCAACAAAAAAAAAAAAAAAAAAAAAGAAAAGAAAAAGAATGTTATATAAATGGAATTATACATGTCACATTTGGGGACTGGCTTTTTCTGCTCAGCATAATTCCCTGGAAATTCATCTAGCAGACCTAGATAGTTTTGTTGTTGTAGTAACATGAAGTGGATCTATTCCTCTGGTCATACCATTCCAAATCTAAATTTTTATGCAGGGAATAGAGGTACACTGTTTTGGGGGATATTTATCTTAAGGGATCTCAAACAATTTTTTGAATTGTTAACATGAGACTGTCTTCTTTCAAAGAGCCTGTGTACCATCCAGAAAGACTGAGTAGGGGGCCAATATTATATTCCAGACTCTATTTTTACTCAGATAGAACTGAACATATGGGGTACAGTAGTGGTACAGTTTATCACTAGATACATTTTAGTTTGCCTTTTTGTCTTAAATGTCTTAAATGTAAAAATTTAAAGAAAAATAGATATTCCTATGGGGGCTTTTTAAATTTCTTTAAACTGCTATGGACAGACTTGTAATTTTTTTTTTTTTTTTTGAGACGGAGTCTTGTTTTGTCGCCCAGGCTGGAGTGCAGTGGTGTGATCTTGGCTCACTGCAACCTCCATCTCCTGGGTAAAAGCAATTCTCCTGCCTCAGCCTCCCAAGTAGCTGGAATTACAGGTGTGCACCACCAATGGCTGGCTAATTTTTGTATTTTTAGTAGAGATGGGGTTTTGCAATGTTGGTCAGGCTGGTCTCGAACTTCTGACCTCAGTAATCCACCTACCTCGGCCTCCCAAAGTGCTGAGATTAGAGGCGTGAGCCACCACGCTCAGCCTTGCCATTGATTCTTAATAACCTGTTTTTATTTCACCAGTAACATTAACTTATTGTAACAGAACAGATGAGCCAAAAGAACAAACAGCTGTTCAAATCTGTACACATATTACCAGGGCTAGACTTTCTAAAAAGTCAAAAAACAACAGATGTGGAGAAAAGGGAATGCTTATACACTATTGGTGGGAATGTAAATTAGTACAACCTCTATGAAAAACAGCACGGAAATTTCTCATGGAACTAAAAATAGAACTACCATTCTACCCAGCAATCCCACTACTGGGTATCTTCTTAAAGGAAAATAAATCATTCTATCCAAAAGATACCTGCACTTGTATATCTATTGCAGCACAATTCACAAGAGCAAAGATATGGAATCAACCTAAGTATCCATCAGCAGATGATGGGATAAAGAAAACGTTGTATATGTATACCAGGGGATATTACTCAGCCATATAAAGAGAATGAAATTACGGCTTTTGCAGCAACGTGGGTGGAACTGGAGGCTATTATCTTAAGTGAAACAACTCAGAAAAAAATAAGAAAATAAAGATTTTTAAAGAACCCTCAGAAACAAAAAAAAATACCACATGTTTTCACTTATAAGTGGGAGTTAAACAGGGTGTATACAGGGTCATGGAGTGTGGAATAATAGACACTGGAGGCTTGGAAAGGTGGGAGGGGGTGAGGGATGAGCAATTACCTTTTGGGTACAATGTACAGTATTTTGGTGATGGTTACACTAAAAGCCCAGATTTCCCCACTACACAATATATCCATGTAACAAAACTGCACCTGTGACCAGGTGTGGTGGCTCACACCTGCAACCCCAGCGCCAAGGTGGGCAGATCACCTGAGGTCAGGAGTTCGAGACCAGCCTGGCCAACATGGCAAAACCCCGTCTCTACTAAAAATACAAAAATTAGCCAGCCATGGTGGCAAGCACCTGTAATCCCAGCTACTCGGGAGGCTGAGGCAAGAGAATCACTTGAACCCAGGAGGCGGAGGTTGCAGTGAACCGAGATCACACGACTGCACTCCAGCCTGGGTGACAGAGTGAGACTCCTCAAGAAAAAACAAACAAACAAACAAAAACTGCAACTGTACTCCCTAACTCTATAAAAATAAAAAATACTTTTCTAAAAGAATTTTTTTTTTTATACTTTAAGTTCTGGGATACATATGCAGAACGTGCAGTTTTGTTACATAGGTATACATGTGCCATGGTGGTTTGCTGTACCCATCAACCGGTCACCTACATCAGGTATGTCTCCTAATGTTATCCCTCCCCTAACCCCCTAGTCCCCGACAGGCCCCAGTGTGTGATGTTCCCTTCCCTGTGTCCATGTGTTCTCATTGTTCAACTCCCACTTATGAGTGAGAACATGCTTGGTTTTCTGATCTTGTGATAGTTTGCTGAGAATGATGGTTTCCAGCTTCATCCATGTCCCTGCAAAGGACATGAACTCATCCCTTTTTATGGCTCCATAGTATTCCATGGTGTATATGTGCCACATTTTCTTAAAAAGAACTTTTAAAGACACCTGGTTTAAGCAAGTACAATTGAGTTAACTATGTAGTTTCAGTATACTTCTAAGTACTACAGCTCATGCTAATAGCAAAAATATACATGATACATCAAGTTAACAGTATGCCTCTCCCTCTAAATGTTAGGTCATGATAGCATTTGGAAGTCTTCAAAAGGAAAAATTCCTCATATGCTGTATTCTAAATTCCGTATTTTTCTATCAGCTCCTTTGCTTTAGAAATATAGGCACTCGTCGCATCTTCCGTCGACAACCCTAGAAAGATACAAACAGGTTATCTCCCTGATTGGTGCACTGGGAAATTAAGAAAGTTTGCTTTAAACTTGTGAAAGACTAAAAAACCTTTTTTGAGGTTCCATGCTTCCCATTTGGCTTTGCCTTTTAAATCTAGCATTCCTGGACACGCTGGCAAAAGAAGGAGACATGCATTTGCAGGTTAACATTTTACTGTGCACTTCTATAGACATTGTTCAAACGGAGTATATTACTATATTTTAAGTAATTATATATTATAATCGCAATTAATATATTAATTGTAACATATGAATATATTAATATTAATAATATATAATACCAATATTAATGTCTCCAACTATTGCTTGTTTGTAAAGCCCATAGAGTTCTTTCAGTTCTCCATCATCTGGTCTTGCTTTCAGCTTCCTCACATCTTCTGCAGCCCTGTCAAAATCAGCCTAAAGGAAGAACAAACAAACAAACAAAAGGAGCATTTTACCACCAAGGAATAGGAACTCAAAGAGCAGGAAGAGGAAGGTTCCAAGTAGAAATGAACTTCTGCTGCTCTGGTTCTATCAGAATCATCTTAATTTACTTGAATTCCTAGGAGTTCACCTCTCCTGGGACTTACCTAATATGAGGAACTATAGAAAATTCTTAATACAGAAAATGTTCGGTTTAACTTCTTTTTTTTTTTTTTTTTTTGAGCCAAGGTCTGGCTCTCTCGCCCAGGCTGGAGTGCAGTGCAGTGGCACCGTCTCCACTCACTGCAACCTCTACTTCTGGGGCTCAAGCCATTCTCCTACCTCAGCCTCCCAAGTAGCTGGGACTACAGGGGTGCACCACCACACTCGGCTAATTTTTGTATTTTTTGTAGAGATGGGGTTTTGTCATGTTGGCCAGGCTTGTCTTGAACTCCTGACCTCAAGTGATCCCCCTGCCTCGGCCTCCCAAAGTGCTGTGACTACAGGCGTGAGCCACTGAACCTGATGGTGAGTTTGCTTTTTTTTTTTTGAGACTGAGTCTCACTCTGTTGCCCAGGCTGAAGTGCAGTGGCAAGATCTCGGATCACTGCAACCTTCGCCTCCTGGGTTCATGCCATTCTCCTGCCTCAGCCTCCCGAGTAGCTGGGATTATAGGCACCTGCCACCGCGCCTGGCTAAGTTTTGTATTTTTAGTAGACACGGGGTTTAACCATCTTGGCCAGGCTGGTCTTGAACTCCTGACCCTGTGATCCACCCACCTTGGCCTCCCGAAGTGCTGGGATTACAGGTGTGAGCCACCGTGCCCAGCTGCTTTTCTTTTTTTTTTTTTTTGGCATTATTTATACTCATTGAAGGTTTCTCAATCACCTCGCAGATGCGCCCTTCCTCTTCTGCCTCAGTCCAACTTTACTACATGCAGGGGCTTCGCTACCAGTTAATACCATCGTCTAGGGCGTTTCTCTTCCAGTGCCCTCATGCCTACATTCTTTAATATCAGTATTATTTAGACCTAGCCAGTTTCTGAGGGTAATCACTATTCCTGATTTGGCTGAATTGCTTGTACAGATTCCTTTCCACACTAGACCTAAATTATAAGATTTATTGCAACTGATTTCTAGAAAAGAGGAGTTGTTTAGCCAATTTAGAGCTTATTAGGGAAAACTTTGTATACCAATATGCTTGAGTGGTATGTTTTTAGACTTCCTGGAAACTCTATATACAATGTACTTAAGCCTGGTGTGGTGGCTCATGCCTGTAATCCTAGCACTTTGGGATGCTGAGGCAGGGGGATCGCTTGAGGTCAGGAGTTCGAGACCAGCCCGGCCAACATAGCAAAACCCTGTCTCTACTAAAAATACAAAAATTAGCTGGGCTTGGTGGTGCGTGCCTGTAATCCCAGCTGCTCAGGAGTCTGTGGCACAAGAATTGCTTGAACCTGGGAGGCGGAGGTTGCAGTGAGCTGAAATAGCACCACTGCACTCTAGCCTGGGCGACAAAGTGAGACTCTGTCTCAAAAACAAAAACAAAAAACCAAATGTACTTAAGTAGTTTAAGCCTTGTCCTGAGTTAGCTCTGATAACTGGGACCTCCCTAACCCCGCAAGACCCTCAGGCTGGCCCAGGGTTCAGCCAGTGGCTGAAATAGACAAGGAAGTCCAGTCTACTCCAGAGCCTGAGTGTTCCCAGGATCTTTATCCTTTTCCCTTTCTAACCTCTTAGTTTATACTCTACAAAGAGCTTTGTGATTAGTTTCCTTTATAGATTTTTAAACTAAACTGTGTCTTACCTTGCCTTATTTTTTAAAACTCAGGATAAGCAGGAATTGTCAGTAGGCTGGCTGTCAAACAGGGGAAGTTCAAGGACATATGCTGGCCACCCCCTGCCCCCCATACTTCTTCTCTGATGCCAGAGCTCCCTTTGGATCCAAAGGCCTAGGAGAGAAAGTGGATAGCCCCACTGTAACCTCAGTACCCTGCGGGCTCAGCGGAGTGGCAGGGTCAAGTTTCCTTCCAGCCCCAAAGACAGGCAGTACTGTGGCAGGCCAGGTTTCCCTAATGGCTAAACAGGCAGGCCTCCATAACAACCGTTTCAGCACTGACTGAGTGGTTAACGTTAAATACTAAAAGCAGAAAGAGCAAGTGCCCTCATACGAAGACTCCAAGGTAACAAAAGCCCACCAAGAGTTTTGCCCAGGCCCTTCCTGGGGCTTGAGGCATGACAAGATAATGAAGGAATTCTTAACAGGACCCATTTAGGATTAAACAAGTTTTATTGGGGTCTGAAGGAACTCCCCAACCCTCCATGATTTAGCAGGAAATAAGATAAGGGTAATCACTGCAGCACCTGGACCCATCCAGATTAAGTAAATTTACTGAGGCTCCAGAGGAAGGTCTTCAGATCTCAGCCCTTAGTTATATATTAGAAGAAGTTCATCACTTAAGGTTTTAGATGAACGCACACTTACATGCAGACATATAACTTAGCAGGCATATAAGCTCTGGAAAACTCTGTAATTTTGAGTTGGCTTCGCAATAATTTGCAGTCCTTCTCCTTGCACCCAGCTACAGAAATCAAATCTCTTCTCTCCCAGTTTATCTGCATCTCGTTATTGAGCTGAGAGAGTAAGCAGCCGGGCTCTCAGCTTGGTCCACGAACAGTAGCACAACCAGAACAGTTGTTTTGTGAAGAGCACAATCACCTGTAAGTTGGAGATCAGGGTCTTCAGCCTAAATAACCTTGAACGTGGCCCATCCTCCTACCCAGTTCCCACAGGGGACTGAGAAGCACGGGGCATGGAACAAGGGGTGCCTTGTCTTCTGAGTGTCTTCCTAAGAAACTCTTGGCTGCTTTATACATAATGCCATGGTTAAGAACATGGCTCTGGAGCCAGACTGCCTTGATTGGAATCTCAACTCCATCTCTTAAGAGCTGTGTGACCAGGCTGGGCGCAGTGGCTCACACCTGTAATCCCAGCACTTTGGGAGGCCAAGGCAGGTGGATCACCTAAGGTTGGGAGTTTGAGACCAGCCTGACCAACATGGAGAAACCCGTCTCTACTGAAAATACAAAATTAGCTGGGCATAGTGGCACATGCCTGTAATCCCAGCTACTCGGGAGGCTGAGGCAGGAGAATCGCTTGAACCCTGGAGGTAGAGGTTGCAGTGAGCCGAGATCATGCCACTACACTCCAGCCTGGGCAACAGAGCAAGACTATCTCAAAAAAAAAAAAAAAAAAAAGGTACTTGCAATAAAGCAAGACATAAGAAATACTTTTAGTTTATGGTTTAGCAAAGAACACAAATTCTTTTTATACACTCAGCTTTGTAAGTAGTATAGAAAAAATAAAAACTAGAAAGATGTATACTAAAGATATGTAAACAGTAATTGCCTCTGATTACTGGCAAGTTATGTAGTTTTAAAATATTTTTGTACTCTCCAAATCTTCTATAATGTGCATGGATTGTGTTTATAATAAGAACAAAATTGAAATGCTACATGAGTGGCTGAGCTGCTTGAGGGCAAGGCTATGCAGAAGGGGTGTAGGACCTTCCTCTGTAGGTTTATAGGCCATCTCAGGTGTTCTGCTTGCTGTAAAGTCTCATATTATTTTCCAGTGACAGCAACTCGACTCCTTTTGAGGTGCCAAGCCTTAATTAGAATTCTAAGCCTTCTTGAAAACCCATATGAGGGCTGGGTGCAGTGGCTCACGTCTGTAATCCCAGCATTTTGGGAGGCTGAGGGAGGTGGCTCACTTAAGGTCAAGAGTTCGAGACCAGCCTGGCCAAAATGGTGAAACACCGTCTCTACTAAAAATACAAAAAATTAGCTGGGCACGGTGCCTCACACCTGTGATCCCAGCTACTCAGGAGACTGAGGCAGGAAAATAGTTTGAACCCAGGAGCAGAGGTTGCAGTGAGCCAAGATCCTGCCACTGCACTCCAGCCTGGGTGACAGAGCAAGACTCCGTCTCAAAAAAAAGAAAAAAGAAAAGAAAAAAAGATCTAATGAAAGTCCTGGACCCCTCTGCACAGAAGAGCTATGCCCTCACACAGTTTCCCATGCCATTTCAGGGGTCCCCGCTCTTTCTCCCTCCCTAGGTAGGGAACTCAGTTCTAGAGCAGGGGCCAGCATCATTCTCTCTGTCTAGCCTGTCTGGTTCTGGCACCTCAGTGCAATACATTCCTGCCTTAAGGGGCTGTTCTGATGCACCTTCCTGCAGGAGGCCTTTCCCATCCCAGCCATGATGAGCTGGAGTACAAACAACATTGGCCTTGGCCAGGATACTCAGGTTTGACTTCCAGCTTTGAGACACACTGCCCTGGGACTCGATGCAACAAACAAAGCTCCTCTAAGATGCAGCTTCGGCCACAAAAAGAGAATATCAGCCTCTTTTTGTGCTAGGGTTAAGGATGATTAAGAATATAATTTTCTTTTTGAGACAGTCTCGCTCTGTTGTCCAAGCTAGAGTACAGCGGCACAATCACGGCTCACTGCAACCTCCACCTCCTGGTTCAAGCGATCCTCCCACCTCAGCCTCCCAAGTAGCTAGGATTACAGGCATGCACCACCACGCCTGGCTAATTTTTTTGTATTTTTAATAAAGATAGGGTTTTGCCATGTTGGCCAAGCTGGTCTTGAACTCCTGAACTCAAGTGACCTGCCTACCTCTGCTTCCCAAAGTGCTGGGATTACAGGCGTGAGCCACGATGCCCGGCCAAGAATGTAAAATATTCTTGATTTGATCCTATGGAGTCTGCCCTCCCAGAGTTCATCTCACAGCTCATACTAATTAACAAACCTACTTACTGAACACCTCCGACAGGCCAGGCCTTTGCCAGGCAGATGGGCATGCACAAGGCAGCGTGCTTGAAGGCGCTCATAGCCTGGTGGGAGATGAACAGGGCAACGGTGACCACAGGGGACTTGCTGCAAATAAGGTGCAGCAGTTGCTCTGGGAACACAGGAGGTAGCACAGACGGGAAGGTACGGAACGGAAAAAGCCATCCCTGAGATGAGATGGGATCGGGTCTGCGATTGTTGGCTGCAGAGGGGCAGGGAAAGCTGCTCCCAGCGGTGTGGACAGAACTTACTAGAGCTCAACATAAAGGCTATGTGGGGTTGCATAAATACTCACAAATCAATAAATAAACAATCAATCAATAATCACCTTGGCAGCACCCACGGGGCCTCACGGACTGCTGGTGGGTGGCGTGAGCCTGGTCTGAGTCTATTAAGTACATCCTTGTTGGATGGTTAACGAGCGAGCAGACTTTAGGGGGATCAGAAAGTTATCATAGGTGAGATGCAGCTTTAAATATAGAGCCATGGACATTGAATTCCAAAGCATTCTTGTTACCAGTGGAGGGTGCCCAAGTTCTTGGCATTTTGAACAAAAAATTGGACAAAATGCACAAACAAAGCAAGGAAACAATGAAGCAACAAAAGCCGAGATTTACTGAAAGCGAAAGTACATTCCACAGGGTGGGAGCAGGCCGAGCACAGGGACTCAAGATCCCTGTTACAGAATTTTCTGTGCTTAAACGCCCTCCAGAGGCTTCCCATTGGTTACTTGGTGTGCATCCTATGTAAATGAAGTAGCGGCCTGCAATCAGAGGCTGAAGTTACAAAGTTACACTTCTATGCAAATAAAGACTTGGCTCACGATCAGTCTGACTGGTTGGGGAAAGCAACCAATCAGAGGCTGAAATGAAGTTACAAAGGTACATTCCTGTGCAAATGTCTGATTGGTTGCAGAAAGCAACCAGTCAGAGATACTTTCAATTTTCCATCTGCCACACAGAAAGTGGGGAGGAGGTTGCAAAGGGAGTAGCCTCCGGTCCTTTTATTACATAGGTGTGGAAAGTTGGGGTTTTGATTTAGTTCTACAAAGTCAGTGTGAATCGGCCTTAGGTTCCCTGCCTCCAGACCCTATTCTCCTGCCTCATCCTGAGAGAAAGGCATCACAGTTTTGCAGTATCCTGTTGCAGAGCTGGGCTTGCTGCCTTTGGCAGGAACTGCAGCCAATGCTGAGCTGATTTCTCCTGAGCGAGGGGTCCTCGGCATCCTGGTTGAATGTTTTGTGCATTATCTCCCGGTCACCCGAGCTTGGGATTCTGCAAGACAAACTGCCTTAAGGCTACTACAGCCCCTCCCTGGACTCTCTCCTGTTCAACTTTTGACACTAGGCTCCCTCACCCCACCTTTGGCGTAGAAGTTACGCCAGCATCACTCACACTGGGTACATCCTGGGTGCATCCTTCCGTGCTGACTAGGCGGGCTGCTGTGTAAATTACCTTTCACATTTCAGCCCCGCTGAAGACAGCCTCCGAGGGTGGCTCTCACCTCACCTGACTTTACTTTCTGCAATGAACATGGTCATCCCACATAGGGGGTTGGCAAGGTCTTCTTGAGCAATTCTTTCCCATTGAGCAACCCAATTAAGAAGATAAAAAATTCTCACACTCAAGGAACTGCAGGGTTCTTAGGTCACACAAATGTGGGCTGGGGGAAGAGGTTAGTCTTTTTTTGCCAGTTGTTAAAATCATCAGTACCCTAGACTTGAAAAGATACATATTCTAGAGGAAGAAGTCTGTTTTTTAGCTTCATCATCTAGGAAAGAAATTTGTCCATTTAGGATAAACATCAGCTCTCCTAAATGCTTTGGTGAGGATGGAAACATATTGTAATTTTCAGATAAAATCAGGAGGCTATAGCCGAATTAGAAATTCCATTTGTTTTGCTACTCCAATGACAGTCTGCCAGTATACTTATTCTTGTGTAAATAAATAGAAGACTGGGGACCCTGAACTAGTCACCTTTCCTCTCATTTCCACTCAGTGAGCATCTTGGCAGAACACTAGTACCAATATGATCCCCGCACATGCCAGTGAGGTAATAAAGACAGAAGAGATTTCAATATGTCAGCCAGTTATTAGTTGTCATTTTTAAAAGTTACTTTCAGCTGGGCGTGGTAGCTCACATCTGTAATCCCAGCACTTTGGGAGGCTGAGGCAGGCAGATCACTTGAGGTCAGGAGTTCAAGACCAGCCTGGCCAACATGGTGAAACCCTGTCTCTACTAAAAATACAAAAATTAGCCGGCCGTGGTGGCAGGCACCTGTAATTCCAGCTACTAGGAGGCTAAGGCAGGAGAATTGCTTGAATCTGGGAGGTGGAGGTTGCAGTGAGTCAAGATCACGCCATTGCACTCCAGCCTGGGCAACAGAGCAAGACACCATCTCAAAAAAAAAAAAAGTTACCTTCCCCCAATATTGTTGACACGCAAATGCATTATTAGTAGATAATATCATGGGTCGATGTTAATACTTCTTAGCATACTGCTTTTCTGTGATGTTCCTCAACTCTTAATTCCTCGTTGCAAGTATTTTAAAAGCAAACAACAACAGAAAACCAAAGTACTAAGCTAAAAAGGAAACTTTCAGATCTTTCAGGAAATTTTAGAAAGAACATTTTGATCATTTTGGAGAGAGTTCAGTATAAACACATAAGTCACGCACAAGAATATTTGAGCCAGGCAAGGTGGCTCATGCCTGTAATCCCAGCACTTTGGGAGGCCAAGGCGGGTGGATCGCTTGAGCTCAGGAGTTGGAGATCAGCCTGGGCAACACAGCAAAACCAAATGTCTACAAAAGATACAAAAAAGGAAAGCCTGGCATGGTGGCTCACACCTGTAATCCAAGCACTTTGGGAGGCTGAGGCGGGCAGATCACCTGAGGTCAGGAGTTTGAGACCACCCTGACCAACATGGAGAAACTCCATCTCTACTAAAAATACAAAATTAATTGGGTGTGGTGGCACATGCCTGTAATCCCAGCTACTCAGGAGGCTGAGGCAGGAGAATCGGTTGAACCCAGAAGGTGGAGGTTGCGGTGAGCCAAGATTGCGCCATTGCACTCCAGCCTGGGCAACAAGAGTGAAACTCCATCTCAAAAAAAAAAAAAAAAAATAGCCAGGTGTGGTGGCAGGTGCCTGTGGTCCAAGCTACTTGGGAGGCTGAAGTGGCAGGATCACTTGAGCCCAGGAGGTCAAGGCTGCAGTGAGCTGAGATCATGCCATTGCACTCCAGCCTGGGTGACAGAGTGAGACCCTGTCTCAAAACAAACAAACTAAATGTTCCACCACAAGCTTATCCTTATTGGACTTCTACCACATGCCAAACATTGTTTTAAATGCTTTATACATATAACTCATTTAATGTATCTCTCCTGCATTTTTAGATAAAGAAACTGAGGCACGGAGAGGTTAACTATGTCACAGGCTAAGTAGAAGTGAGGCACACATTTGAACCCAGATGGCCCTGAAGTATGTATTACAACTTTACGCAGGATAACGTCTTGCCTGACTGAAATGGTTAAAGAAGTGAGCCACGTTCTATGAAATTTTGTGCATGTAAAAGATTACATTTTAGAGGCCGGGCGTGGTGGCTCACGCCTGAAATCCCAGCACTTTGGGTGTCCAAGGCGGGTGGATCACTTGAGGTCAGGAGTTGGAGACCAGTCTGGCCAACACAGCGAAACCCCATCTCCACTAAAAATAGAGAAAAATAGCCAGGAGTGGCGGCGCACGCCTATAATCCCAGCTATTTGGGAGGCTGAGATAGGAGAATCACTTGAACTTGGGAGGCGGAGGTTGCGGTGAGCTGAGATTGCACCACTGCACTCCAGCCTGGGTGACAGAGTGAGACTCCATCTCAAACAGCCTGGGTGACAGAATGAGACTCCATCTTAAAAAAAAAAAAAAAAAATTACAAAAATCAGCCGGGCGTGGTGGCGTGCACCTGTAACCCCAGCTACTGCGGAGGCTGAGACATGAGAATCGCTTACACCTGGGAGGTGGAGGTTGCAGTGAGCAGAGGTTGCAGTGAGCAGAGATCGCACCAACTGCGCCTCAACCTGGGCAACAGAATGAGACTCTGTCTCAAAAAAGAAAAATAAAATTACATTTTAGAATATTTAATAATGAGAAAATGCTCATATTACTGTTTTACGTGTAGGAATAAAACTATATACACAATAACATCATAGGTATGTGTGTAGATATATGCCACACACATACACACATGGAAAATAACATACTAGGACATACTAGGAATTACCCTAGCATGTAGCAGTGATTATCACCTGGGTGAAGGAATTATCATTGGATTATTATCAGTAATTATTACTTTATATTTGTTGTCTTTTCCAAAGTTTTCCACCCTTAACAATTTTTTTCACATACCTATAAAACAGTATTTTTAAATTGGAGCCTCACAGATCTCTTCTGCTCAGTATGACACTAAGAGAGGTCCTGGAGGTCCCAACGAGCGAAGGGGCGGGAGCGGGGGATCTCGACTCCCTCTCGGAGACGGAGAGGAGGAGGCCCGCTCCGTGCTCCCCGGCGCTCCTGCCTTGCCTGCTTTTCCGCTCACCCGGCCCCTGGGGTCCGGAAGGGTTGCCCTGGGAGCCCTGGCTCGCCGTCAGCAGGCACAGGTGCGGTCTACACTGCCATCTGGGGCGCTGGGGAAGGAGTGGGCGTGTCCCCCGGGTCACCGCCGACCGCTCCCAGGGGCGCCAAGCCCACCCGGAGCCCCACTTAAGCACTCCCCTCGCGGAGCGCCCCTCCCGCGTGGCCTCCCCGCGCCCCGGGTACCTGCAGGGCCATGGTGGCGGCTGCCGCGTTGTTGCTGCTGCTGTTGTCGTCCGGTGCTCTGCCCCCTCTCGCACCCACCGCTTCTTAAACGGCCGCGTCTCCTCCGGCCGCTGCCATTGGCCGCGCTCCCGGCCCGGCCGCCTCCCATTGGTCGCGGGCGCGGGGGCGAGGCTGGGCGGTGAGCGGTACTGCACGCCGGGTTCCCCAGGCTGCAAATGGAAAGGCGAAGACAGGAGAATTTAAATGAGTTTCTCTCCGCTCTTGGCTCTCTCTTCTATTCTTTCTCAAGCGGTTCTTTGCAGGAAACCCAGAGAGGTCTCCGTAGGGCACAGGCCTCCCCTGGAATGCCTTCGAAAGAAAGAAAGAAGGAGAGAGACAGAGAGAGAGAGAGAGAGAGAAAAAATATATATATATATAGAGAGAGAGATATATATTTATCTAGAGAGACCCGCCCCAACTCTCTTAAAATACATATGTAATTTTTTCAATTTAAAAAAATTTATACATGTAAATATGTATTGGCCGGGCGCGGTGCCTCACGCCTGTAATCCCAACACTTTGGGAGGCTGAGGCCGGCAGATCACCTGAGGTCGGGAGTTCGAGACCAGCCTGACCAACATGGAGAAACCCTGTCTCTACTAAAAATACAAAATTAGCCGGGTGTGGTGGCGCATACCTGTAATCCCAGTTACTCGGGAGGCTGAGGCAGGAGAATCGCTTGAACCCGGGAGGTGGAGGCTGTGGTGAGCCAAGATTGCACCATTGCACTCCAGCCTGGGCAACAAGTGTGAAACTCCGTCTCAAAAAAAAAAAAGAATAAGTAAATATGTATTTAAAATTTTATAAATTAAAAATTTATATATATAAATTTTTTTCAGAGGTTGGGGTCTTCCTAGGTATATATATATTATATATTTTTTCTCTAAAAATTATATATAAATTTATATATATTTAAAATGTTAAAAATTAAAAATTTTATAAATTAAAAGTGCAAATTAAAAAATATATATATATGTGTTTTTTTTTTTTTTAAGAGAGGTGGTGGGGGGGGCGTCTCACTAGGTTGCCCAGGCTGGTCTCGAACTCCTGACCTCAAGCGATCCTCCCACCTCGGCTTCCCGAAGCACAGGATTCCTTCTTTATACATACTTCTCTCATGTCCATTATTCCTAGAAACGTGGATGATGGATGTGTCTCCTCCACGCTGCCTCCAGGCGCTGTTTATCATGAGAGAAAGTGGCCTGTGGTTTGCACCTCTTCTCTTTATAAAGCAAAACCACCTAAATTCTGGACACATGCTATAATCAGCTTAACTTGTTTTTAATTATGGTAAAGGCACAGGACTAAACGCCTATTCAATTTGACTCAGTTTTCTAGGGGAACAAACCCAATGTCACTCCAAGTCTGCAGACACACCGAATAGGATTACATTTCCAAAGGACTGGAACCGAATTGGGTGGTCACATGAGAAGCTAATTTCCGACACTTCGCATAAATAGTAGCATTGGTGGAGAAGGGTGACTGGGAGAAAAAAGAAACTCAATGTCAGCAAAGTGACTGAGCTTCAACGTACAACAATGCAACAAGAAACCTTTCAGCTTGCTTTTGCATAAAGCTACATTTTTAAAATATTTGCGTTTTCATGAAAATCTTTTTTTTTCTCCTCACAAATATTTTCCTGGTGAAATCAGTGCATTTCCAAGTGAAGGACCAAAAGCAAAATGTTAGAAAAACCTACTGGGCAGTTGTTTGTGTTTGAAGTCCTAGATGATGGGAAAGGTCCCGTGGGGGTACTGAGGCTCATGGCAGCTTCAGCACAGCCAGGCCTTTCTCTGTTAGCCTAGTCCTGGCTGCGGGCAGAACCCGGTCTGTGGTGTTTCAGCAGGAAATACTGCACTGAGTTCAGGTATCAGTCCATATCTTCAGCTGAGACATTCTGGAATTATCGTCACTGTAAGAATCCAGAAGAGGAGAGGGATGGACGCTACATTGTTCTCTGCTTTTTTCTCTAAATCCAGAATGTTCTTTTAAGACCTCTTTTGAAAGTATTTTCTTCTCCTGGGTTGCCATTCCCCATCTCATTGCCTAGCCATGTGTGTCTTGTCTTGAGATGCAAGAAGGGGCCAGGCGCGGTGGCTCACGCCTGTAATCCCAGCACTTTGGGAGGCCGAGGTGGGCAGATCACTTGAGGTCAGGAGTTCAAGACCAGCCTGGCCAACATGGCAAAAACCCTTCTTCTAAAAATACAAAAATTAGCTAGGCATGCTGGTGGGCACCTGTAATCCCAGCTACTTGAGAGGCTGAGGCAAGGAGAATTGCTTGAACCTGGGAGCCGGAGGCTGCAGTGCGCCAAGATCTTGCCACTGCACTCCAGCCTGGGCAACAGAGTGAGACTCTGTCTCAAAAATAAATAAGATAAAATAAAATAAAATAAAATAAAAACCATAGCATGAGTTTCAGAATAGGTTTTTCTTTTTCTATAAAAAAAATCCTTTGGGATTCTGATAGGGATTGCATTGAATCTTTAGTACTGTCACGATGAACATTTCTTAACCCTGGCAGTGCATTCAATTACCTGGGGAAAAAAAGATACAAACCCCAGTCTGATCCCTAATTCCCACCACCATTTTGATGTAATGGCTGTAGGGTTGGACCCAAGCCTCACGAATGGTGCATCCATGGTTTTGCTCTCTTCTCTGCAATGACAATTTAGCTCTCCTTGGCTGAACAGTACATGTGGTCCTCCGGGATGGACCAGGTCCTGCTGACCTCTTCAACCACATCTCTCGCTATTTCCCACAGGCATGGATGCTCTACCCCAGGTAACTGAAGGACTTCAAGTTCCCTTTCTCCACGTTGGTAGATAGTTGCCACTCCACTGTCTGGCACACCCTTTTCCTTCTTTTCTTTTTATTTTCTTTTCCTTTTCTTTTCCCTCCCTCCCTCTCTCTTTCTCTCTTTGATTTTTTCTTTTCTCTTTCTCTTTCTTCTCTCTCTCTTTCTTGTTTTTGAGACGGAGTCTCAATCTATCACCCAGGCTGGAGTGCAGTGGTGACATCTCAGCTCACTGGAACCTCCACCTCCCGGATTCAAGTGGTTCTCCTGCCTCAGCCTCCCTAGTAGCTGGGATTACAGGCGTATGCCACCATGCCCAGCTAATTTTTGTATTTTTAGTAGAGATGGGGTTTCGCCATGTTGGCCAGGCTGGTTTCAAACTCCTGACCTCAAGTGATCCACCCGCCTTGGCCTCCCAAAGTGCTGGGACTACAGGCGCGAGCCACCATACCTGGCTCCTTTTCCCACTTTCTTAACAGCCAACTCCTCCTTCAAGACTTAGCCGACATGGCAACACCTCCAGGAAGACTTTGAGACAAGAAATAGCTTTAGCCTGGTCTTCTCGTCTATGAGCCTCTGGCCATCTCTCTCCGTCTTTCTTCTGTTCTCATTCTTACCTGCCTTCAAAGGGCTTCCGCTCCACTTGGCCTCCCGGCTGTTCTAACAGGCCTGTCGCACTGCTGCTCTCCCGTCTCTACCTCAGAATTATCTTCCCAGGGTCGGCCTGGCTCAGTGCTTCCACTCCTCTAGGTCTTTGCTCATCTGTCATCTCAGGAGGCCTTTTATCACCCATCCTAGCACCCCCTTCCACTCTTACCTGCTTTTTCGTGTTGCTTTTGTTTTTTTCTGAGATACAGTCTCACTCTATCACCCAGGCTGGGGTGCAGTGGCATGATCTGGACTCACTGCAACTTCTGCCTCCCAGGTTCAAGTGATTCTCCTACCTCAGCCTCCCGAGTAGCTGGAATTACAGGTGTGCGCCACCATGCCCAACTAATTTTTGTATTTTTAGTAGAGACGAGGTTTCACCATGTTGGCGAGGCTGGTCTTGAACTCCTGACCTCAAGTGATCTGCCCACCTTGGCCTCCCAAAGTGCTGGGATTACAGGCATGAGCCACCGCGCCTGGCCTTCCCTGCTTTTTTTCTGTAGCACTTTGAATCATCTGACAACTTAAATCGTTTACTTTGTTTACCGTTTCTCCTCCTTTAGAACTCTGGCTCACCACTTTATCCCCAACACTTAAAATTCAATGAATATTGTACCTGTAGGAAAAGGCGGGGGGGGGGGGAAGAAAGGGAGGAGGGGGATAAAAAGGAAGGATTAAATGTCTTTCAAATTTCCCCGTTTTCATAAAACAGCACTGCTGAGACCCCTGACAACCTTGGACATCTCCACATAGCCACAGAGCCAAGGCCTGACTGCGGTCTACCCTGAGTCCTCGCCGAATGCCTGTGATTTCCCTGGGAGCAAGGCAAGGCTTCCCTTTTTTTTTTTTTTTTTTTTTTGATTGAGTGCAGGAAACTTTATTGATGGTACACGACAAGGTGAGGCTCCCATGGTGTCTCCCTCTTCAGGGCGTCTGCGTGGAAACTGTGAGGAGGGGAGATTCTCAGTGGGGGCGGGGGCTGAGTGGGGCAGGGACTCCGCAGCAGTGAGAGCCTCTCTCGTCCTCTCGTGCTCTCACTGGGGCTGGTGGTCCGGGGGTCTTACTCCTTGGAGGCCATGTGGGCTCCGCCACCCTGTTGCTGTAGCCAAACTCACTGTCATATCAGGAAATGTGCTTGACAAAGTGGTCGTCGAGGGCAATGCCAGCTCCAGCATCGAAGGTGAAAGAGTGGGTGTCACTGTTGAAGTTGGAGGAGATGACCTGGTGCTCGGTGTAGCCCGGGATGCCCTTGAAGAGCCCTCTGAAGCCTGCTTCACCACCTTCCTGATGTCATCCTATTTGGCAGGTTTTTCCAGATGGCAGTTCAGGCCCACAACTGACACGTTGGCAGTGGGGACACAAAAGGCCATGCCAGGGAGGTTCCCATTCAGCTCAGGGATGACCTTGCCCACAGGGCTTCCCTATCTTGTGGGAGAGTCTCACAAGGCTGTTTCTCATCCATGTCCCTAGTTTAGTTGAGACTAGGGCTTTCCATCTTCCCCTTCTTTCTCCGCACCCCCTACAACCTGCTCCACTTTAGGATGGAGCCGCAGGCTTCTGTGTAAATCTGTAGAACTGCTTGCTGAAGTTTAGTTTGTTCCTCGACAGAGTGACCCACCACTCATAAGACCTGTCATCTGACCTCTGAGATTGGGAATGCTGTCCCATGGGATTAGAGATGCAGGGAGCTGACATCATGTTGGTCTTGATTTTGCTGTTTTGTGAGACCTGCGAATTGCTCAACTGCTTGAAACTCCTCACCTTCACTTGTCTCTATGGACACAGATATTCTTTGGAGTACTATACCGTTCCAATTAGTAAAGCTTTCAGTATTCATTTTGCATCTCATCATTAAAGTTTATTCTTAGTAACTGATTTAAAATAATGAATTGTTTACATAACAACTACTGTTACATAACACACACACACACACACACACACACACACACACAAACACACACACACAGCTAAGGTCAGAATACCATGGAGGAAAAGAAGAATCTGGTGGTCAATTCCCTTACATTCTTCTATTGACAAATTTTCTTGTTGGGACCTTCACTTATTTCATCAAAGGATTGTGGCTAATGATCTAATTTATTACTCAGAATCTTTTTATTTATTTGTTTTGGAGACAGGGTCTCACTCTGTTGCCCAGGCTAGAGTGCAGTGGTGTGATCATAGCTCACTGTAGCCTCCACCTTCTATGCTCAAGCAATCCTCCTGCCTCAGCCTCAGGAGTGGCTGGGACTACAGGCACACACCACCATGCCCAGCTAATTTTTTTTTTTTTTTTTTCTGTAGAGACGGGGTTTCGTCATGTTGCCTAGGCTGGTCTTGAACTCCCGGGCTCAAGCAATCCTCCTGCCTCAGCCTCCCAAAGTGCTGGGATTACAGGTGTGAGCCACCACAGCCGGCCATCACTCAGAATCTTAAGTCATTGTCAAATAATGGAAAGCATACAAATCAAACAGTAGTCCAATTCTAGAATTAATATAAAAAGAAAGCTCTAATATACAAAGACCAAACAGATTTTACAGGATAAAACAACTGTCATTAAAAAGTAAAACTGGCAGGTGTGGTGGTGCACATCTGTAATCCCAGCACTCTGGGAGGCCAAGGTAGGAGCATTACTTGAGCCCAGGAGTTTGAGACCAGCCTGAGCAACATGGCAAGACCCCGTCTCTACAAAAAGTACAAAAATTAGCCAGGCATGGTGGCATGCTCCTGTAGTCCCAGCTACTCAGGAGGCTGAGGTGGGAGGATCACTTGAGCTTGGGAGGAGGTTGCAGTGAGCTGAGATGGTGCCACTGCACTTTAGCCTGGGCAACAGAGCAAGACCCTGTCTCCAAAAAAAAAAAACCGTTTCTTCAGAATAGGATATCAAATATGTAAAGTAATAATTTGAGAAACATGAAAAAGCGTTATGTGTAAAGAAAATCAGAAGACTTAATCTGTATTAGTTTAATGTAAAAGCATGCACATATGTGAAACAAAGTAGAAGGGAACACTAAAGAAAAAAATGGGTGTGATTGGGTCATGGGAGAATGTTTTTTACTTTTTGGTTGTAATGTTTGTGTGATACAAGAGGGACAGAAATTACTTTCGAAATGTACTTGTTAATTTTAGCAAAATCCTCGTGGAAATTATACTGCTAGTTTTAAAATAAAACACAAGCACTAAAATAATAAAGGTTATGTTTCATTTTTATTAACTTAGTTTTGCCACGGTTGAGACTGGATTTGCCATAGTTCAATTTATCAAGCACTTAACTATGTGTTCCGCACATAATAATCATCTTAGCATAGAGGAACATGTCTTCTAATCCGCACAAGAGATACTATTTTTATCACGTCATAGAGGAGGTTAATAAACTTGCCTAGGTCATAAGATCTTCAGTTGATGAAGTTAGGATTTCAACCCAGAGCCAAGTAATGTAATGGCTGATGTTTTCCACAGAGAAAATGTAAGCCGAGATGATGCTCAAACTATAAATCTGGAACCTTAGGGGGACAAAAACGTATGGATGTCTCCTTCCCATTACTTTAGCATTTTAATTAGATTCCTGTGTCTCTATTTGTCTTTGGAAATGCAAGCTGCTTGCAGTTCATCATAGCTAACTCACACAATTCATTTTATGAAACACAAACCTGTTCTCACAAACTCACTGTCATCTCTTTTTAATCTTTCTAATTGTGATAAAAATCATACTGCACTTTACCCTGTGTAACCTCCAATGATCTTTGACCAAAAGCCAAATCTTTTTTTTGTTGTGTTTACTTATGGACAGTTAGGTTCTACATAGGTACTTAAACATGAAAATTGAAATCATAGAGGCTGGGCACAGTAGCTCATGCCTGTAATCCCAGCACTTTGGAAGGCCGAGGTGGGCGGATCACCTGAGGTCAGGAGTTCGAGACCAGCCTGACTAACATGGTGAAACACCGTCTGTACTAAAAATACAAAAATTAGCTGGGCTGGTGGCCCGTGCCTGTAACCCCAGCTACTCCGGAGGCTGAGGCAGGAGAATCACCTGAACCTGTGAGGCGCTGGCTGGAGTGAGCCAGGTTCGCGCCATTGCACTCCAGCCTGGGCAACAAGGGCAAAACTCTGTCTCAACAACAATAATAATAATAAATAAAAGAAAGAAATCACAGAAACTATACCAGAAAATAGGATACAAAACCAACAGTGAGGAGATTGAGAAAAGGAGGCAGATACGTAAAGAGGAAAAGGAAGGGGGCCCAAGTAAGGCCGGAAAAAGCGGGGAGAAGGAGGAGGCTCATTAGGTCAGAAGCAACCTGCCGTCTTCTAAGTTCTGGCCAAGGGTAGATCAACAGATCCAGATTCCTGAGCTTTAAAATGTTATTCGGCCGCTTCATCACTTGTCCCCGACTTTGCAGCGACTCCGATGGTAGCCTGAGTCTCCATTGCTTGGAGCAGCCACAGTGGACACTGGACGGGATATTCTGTGCAGCTGTTGCTGAACTCAAGGCAACTCTTACTGCCTTTCTCTTTTCGGGCTCAAGATTCCCTGCATTATTGCCCATAGGCATGTGTTTTACCCCATACTCCTTCTCCCTTTTATCTTGATTTTCGCGGTGCTGGGGAGTCTGCAGGGATTCCATGGCGACGGGCTCACTGGGACAGGGGCTGGGGTTGTGCGTCCCTGAGGCAAGGCAAATACAGAAAAGCGAATAGAGACAGAGGGCTAAGATTCCAAAGCACTGAAAGGTAGAAACTGGGTTAGAAGAGAGAGGGGAGCACAAACGCCCGGAGAGAGCGAGCCCTCGGGATACCATTGGCTATAGGCTGGCCTCCGAACAACTGGACGGTCCAAGTCCTGAGCGTCTGGTTACCCGGGCAACCGCATGGTCTCGCGATACATACCTCGCGCCTGCGCACTGCCCCTGTAGCGGGGGTGGGGGGACCCGGTCCGGAGACTCCACCCCGGGGCCTAAACTCGAGTCTAAAAGATTGGGCCTCGTTGTGTCGTTTCCGGGTCGCGCGACGCTGTGGGCCGCTTTCCCCTCTCCGGAGTGACCTAACACAGGATAACGAAACCTGCACTGCTCCGAGCGCTTCCTCCCCGGCCCGTCGCGTCTGCGAGGCGAGGCCGGGAGGCGAGGGCTCTGCGCACGCGCGGCGCAGGCGCACTGGGCGCCGGTGCTGTTGCCTTCAGGTGACCACGGATTCGCCATCGTGAGTTCCAGGTGGGCGCGCGGGGCCCACGTAGGGCAGGAGGCCAGCCCCGGGGGGATCGGGCCCGGGACTCTGCGGAATCTGGAGGCCGAAGCCCGCGCGCACGCAGGGTCTCTGCTGCTTCCCCAACGCCTGTTGCGTGGCCGCAGGACCCGCCGCCCTCCCGGTTGGGCCGCCCAGTCCCGGGCCGGGCGCGTGCACCCAGAGCTTCCGCGTTTCTAGTCCGGCTCCTCTGCTGGATTGCAGCGCCGGCTGGGCACCAGGAGTACAAAGCGAAAACCCCCGCCGGCCCTTCTGTTCTCCACGGTCTCCAAGGAGACACGGACAACAGAACAACACTTCCGTGTGCTAAATAGTAAAGCACCAAGGTACTCGATCCAGGGGCGGCGTGCAGTGGGGAGGTGAGCTTTGGGTCGGCCGTCGCCCCTCGGCTACCGGCGGGATCCAGAAACCGGGAGTCACCACCAATACCGTTCTCAACTTTACTTCCAGCTGGTCACTACTGTGTCGGGAGATTCTACCTTCTTTTCCGACTAACATGTATTTTTCTCCAGTCCTTTCTGCGGCGTCTCTAGTGCAGGCCACCGTCATTTCTAACCTGGACGACTCCAGGAGCGTCTTTGCTGCTCGGGGACTCTTCCTTTGCCCAGATCCACAAAGATCTATAACGTCTTTCTAATCACGACACCTCTGCTTTAGATGTTAAAGTTGCTTCACACTGGAACGCTTGCAAAGGTCTTCATTATCTGGTCCTTACCCACCTTTCCTAGTTTCTCACCGCTTTCTCTAGCATCTCTGCCCCAGCCACATTGAACTTATTTGAACGTGTTTTTTTTTTTTTTTTTTTTTTTGAGACATAGCAGTCGCCCAGGCTGGAGTGCAGTGGCGCGATTCCGGCTCACTGCAACCTCCGCCTGCCGGGTTCAAGCGATTCTCCTGCCTCAGCCTCCCGAGTAGCTGGGACTACAGGCGCCTGCCACCACGCCCGGCTAATTTTCGTATTTTTAGTAGAGACGGGTCACCACGTTGGTCAGGCTAGTCTCGATCTACTGACCTCAAGTGATCCGCCCGCCTGGGCTTCCCAAAGTGCTGGGATTACAGGCGTGAGCCACCTCGCCAGCCAACTTATTTCTTTTAATACTGAGATACCTTTCTTTACTCCATACTTCCTTTGGTAGGCATTGTTTAGATGTAGGTTAAGAGGTCCGGCCCGGCGCGGTGGCTCACGCCTGTAGTCCCAGCACTTTGGGAGGCCGAGGCGGGCGGATCACAAAGTCAGGAGATCGAGACCATCCTGGCCAACATGGTGAAACCCCGTCTCTACTAAAAATACAAGAATTAGCCGGGCGTGATGGCCCGTGCCTGTAGTCCCAGCTACTCGGGAGTCTGAGGCAGGAGAATCGCTTGAACCCTGGAGGCGGAGGATGCAGTGAGCCGAGATTGTGCCACTGCACTTCAGCCTGGCGACAGAATGAGACTCCGTCTCAAAAAAAAAAAAAAAAAAAAAAGTTCCTCTGTGAGGACTGCCTTTTCCCACCCCCCTCAACTAAGCTAGGCCTCTGCTGGATGTTCCCTAAGCATACTGTTCCCTGACCTTCATGTGCATCAGGCTTTATTGTATAATTACTTGCTAATATTTTTTCCTCGTGGACTCTAAGCTCATGAGGTCTGTGAGAAAAAATACTTAATCTTTATGGCCTGGCACATCGTGGATAATCGATAAATATTTGTTGAAGAAAGGAAGGGGCCTGCGGCTGAGGGTGGGAGTGGTATTCCAGGCAGAGGGACTAATGTGTATAAAGACTTGCAGGTGGGAAAATGCTGGCCTCATTAAATAGTATGTTGTTCGGTGTTGAGGACTTGTGCTTGGTGGGGCCTAAGGAGAAAGAGGGCCTAAGTGGGAGATTGAGCTGGAGTGTGGAGGGCCTTTTATGTCACATTAGAGTTTAGGCGGGGCATGGTAGCTCATGCCCTCAATCCCAGTACTTTTGGGGAGGCCGAGGCTACGGGATTGCCTGAGCCTAGGAGTTGAAGACCAGCCCAGGCAACAAAGCAAGACCTTGTCTCTATAGAATTTCTTTTTTTTTTTTTTTTAAGACGGAGTCTTACTCCATTGCCCAGGCTGGAGCACAGTGGTGCAATTACGGCTCATTGCAGCCTCCGCCTTCTGGGTTCAAGCAATTCCCCTACCTCAGCCACCCACCTAAGTAGCTGGGATTACAGGTGTGCACCAGCACTCCTGGCTAATTTTTGTATTTTTAGTAGAGACTGGGTTTCACCATATTTGCCAGGCTGGTCTCGAACTCCTGACCTCAAGTGATCTGTCCAGCTTGTCCTCCCAAAGTGCTGGGATTACAGGTGTGAGCCACCGTGCCCAGCCTATACAGAAAATTTAAAAATTAAAAAAATTTTCTGGGCTTGGTGGTATGCGCCTATAATCCCAGCTATTCAGCATGAGGCTGAGGTGGGAGGATTGCTTGAACCCAGAAGTTCAAGGCTGCAGTGAGCCATGATCGAACGACTGCACTACTGCCAGGTGACAGGGCAAGACTGTCTAGTAAAAAGAGTTTGCCCTTGATCTACAGGCAGCAGAGGCCTCTTGAGACAGCTCTAAAGGGCCCTCAGCAAAGCCTATTTTTCTCTCTTTCTCTAAAGCTATAAAATCTTATCAGTCAGTACTTTGTTTCTGGATTATATTGCGTGAGATTATGCTTATCCAGACTACTTGGCTCTCTTTATCGCCCCAGCAGATTCTGCAGGTGGGACAAGTTTATAGCCTGTTTTGTGATCCCTCTGGAGCATGATTTTAAGTATTTATTCTGTGGTGTTTGGATGTGGAGACATCATCTGACTTGCAGTTGGCAAGAGCTCTGCCCCATCCTATTTGTTTCACCCCCTGTCACTTATTTCCCTCTTCCTGACCACTTTGAACCTGATGCCAGCCCCTCACAGTCACTGCATTGCATCTGGATGAGCCACTTTTCTTCCTGATTTCCTGAGCTCTAGGGGAGCATAGAGATAATGGGGTCAGGGGACACAGTGTGGCCACCGTGAAGGAAGCAGCTTAGGCCCCAGAAGTCTCCAGGATTGCTGTACCGAGATGACCAGGGTGTGATCTCTCACCCTAAGGAGCTGAATTTGGCTTTTCTGTGGGAAAGTGTCTGGGAAGAATATCAGAGACCAATAGCGCTCAGGGGGCCCTTTCTCGGGGCTGTCCAGTGTGGAAACACCCTGTCCTACACCAGTGGTTCCTGATTCCGGCTCTGAATCAGATTCACGAGGGCAACTTTTTTTTTTTTTTTGATATGGAGTCTTGCTGTCGCCCAGGCTAGAATGCAGTGGCGCGATCTTGACTCACTACAACCTCCGTCTCCTGGATTCAAGAGATTCTCCTGCCTCAGCCTCCAAGTAGCTGGGATTACAGGCAGGCACCACCATGCCTGGCTAATTTTTTTGTATTTTTTAGTAGAGACGGGATTTCGCCATATTGGCCAGGCTGGTCTCGAACTCCTGACCTTATGATCCGCCCGCCTTGGGCTCCCAATGTGCTTTGGTTACTGGCGTGAGCCACTGCACCCGGCCTGGGGCAGCTTTTTATAAGCACAGATGCCCAGGCCTTATTATTGAAGATTCCAATTCAGTAGATCTGGGTTGAGGACCAAGCATCTGCATGTTTTAAGAAGCCACAGGTTATTTTTGAGGTGTAGCAAGGATTGAAAGAACAGAAAACTTGGATTTGGAAAACTAGTTGTGACTTTAGGCAGTGAGTCAGTTTCCTAATGCACACATTGGGGGATTCTATAGGAATGCTGTAAGAAGCAAATAATACATGGAGAGAGTGCTTTATACAGCGATACACTGCACAGACACACTTGCCTTCAACATCAGCTGCCAGCCTAGTAAGTGGTAGTATAAATGCAAAGGATATAACTTCCTTTAGTTTTGCCAGGTGGGTCCCTGTGATTCTAGCTGAGCCCCAGGAAGGAAGGGAAGAAAACTGAGGGAAGAGAAGGGAGTGTGTAGTTGCCTCTGGGAAGGATAAAAGGATATGCCCTCTGGACCAATAGTTTATAACATTTTCCCCATTAAGCATCCTTCTACTCATTTTTCCTCAATGGATTAGTATCTTTAAATTTCATTACATTTCCCTAGTCTTCATGGAATTGCCAGCCAGAGAAGTCAGCTCGGGGTCCCCCTAAAAAGGAGGACTGGCCGGGAGTGGTGGCTCGTTCCTGTAATCCCAGCACTCTGGGAAGCTGAGGTGGGTGAATCACCTGAGGTCAGGAGTTCGAGACCCGCCTGGCCAACATGGTGAACCCCATCTCTACTAAAAATACAAAAATTAGCCAGGCGTGGTGTTGGGCACCTATAATCCCAGCTACTCCGGAGGCTGTGGCAGGAGAATCGCTTGAATCTGGGAGGCAGAGGTTGCAATAAGCTGAGATCATGCCATTGCACTCCAGCCTAGGCAACAAGAGCAAAACTCCGTCTCAAAAAACAAAAAAAAGGGAGTGTATGCCTGCATATGTATCAAATGCTGTAGGAAGGATATTCAAGAAATTTAGGGCCCTGGGAGGTGGGGAGACTTACAAAAGTGGACGTGACAGTGTTATTTGAAGTTTTAATCATGAGATGACTGTTCAGTTCTTTAAAATATCACACCTGATTGGTTGTGAATGGCAGAGGCCACCAGAGTATTTGCAGATTGGGAGCTCTACGTGGGTGGACATCGGGTCTTGCTTACTGTGAGCCCCAGGACCTAGAACACCACTTGCATACTGGAGGTGCTCAGATCATTTTTTTTTTTTTTTTTTTGCAGACAGGGTCAGATGTGTTACTGGGCTGGAGTGTGGTGGCACAATCACGCTCACTGCATCCTTGACCTCCTGGGCTCAAGTGATCTTCCCACCTCAGCCTCCCAAGTAGCTGGGACTACAGGTACGCCTCACACTTAGCTAATTTATGTATTTTTTGTAGAGGGTTTCTCCATTTGCTCAGAGTGGTCTCGAACTCATGGGCTGAAGTGATCTGTCCACCACAGCCTCCCGAAATTCTGAGACTGAAGGCATGAGCCAGTGTGCCAGGCCTAGAATATTTGTTGAGTGAATGCATGGAAGCCCAACTAGATAGCATTTTGGAAAACAGTAACAAGTTAGAAGATTAATACCATACAGTCACTAGAAGGTTAATTATGAACAAGTAGAAACAGAATATTTTTAATAAATGAAATAGACAAATGGAATTGTACTATGATTGCAATAATTAAAACTTTCACATATTGCTTGTATAGGAATAAAGACAAAGTCATATAAAAAAATGGGGAAAATTAAACACTACTCACCCATAGTCCTGAGTATTTTAAAGAGCCTTCGTAGAGCATTCAAAATCGGGTAAGAAAAATGGGGAAAAATAAAATTACTTAATCTTTAAAAGGAAGACAAGCGTATGCTCACCTAATTGGACTTATATAATCAGGCTTGCTCTAGCTTATCCAGAATCAGAGTACAGGCCGGGCGCAGTGGCTCATGCCTGTAATCCCAGCACTTTGGGAGGCCGAGGTGGGTGGATCACCTGAGGTCAGGAGTTTGAGACCAGCCTGGGCAACATGGTGAAACCCTGTCTCTACTAAAAAAAAATAGAAACATTAGCTGGGCTTGGTGGCGGGCGCCTGTAATCCCAGCTACTCGGGAGGCTGAGGCAGGAGAATCGCTTGAACCCAGGAGGTGGAGGTTGCAGTGAGCTGAGATTGTGCCACTGCACTCCAGCCTGGGCAACAAGAGTGAAATTCTGTCTCAAAAAATAAATACATAAATAAATAAGAATCAGAGAGTACAGTCAAGATATTCTTAAGTCATGCAGTTGTCGCTAACATGAATTTTTTCTGTTGTCATTTTGCTTCTTGGAAGGATTTTCAAAATGGCTGCAGCTCCTCAAGCACCGGGGCGGGGATCTCTCCGTAAGACGAGACCTCTGGTTGTGAAGACGTCGTTGAACAACCCATACATCATCCGCTGGAGCGCTCTGGAGAGCGAGGATATGCACTTCATCCTACAGACGCTTGAGGACAGGCTTAAAGCTATTGGACTTCAGAAGATTGAAGATAAGAAGAAAAAGAACAAAACACCTTTTCTGAAAAAAGAAAGCAGAGAGAAATGCAGCATTGCTGTTGATATTAGTGAGAATCTGAAGGAGAAGAAAACAGATGCTAAGCAGCAAGTGTCAGGGTGGACGCCTGCACACGTCAGGAAGCAGCTTGCCATTGGCGTTAACGAAGTTACCAGAGCCCTGGAAAGGAGGGAACTGCTGTTAGTTCTGGTGTGTAAATCAGTCAAGCCTGCCATGATCACCTCACACTTGATTCAGTTAAGCCTAAGCAGAAGTGTCCCTGCCTGTCAGGTCCCCCGGCTCAGTGAGAGAATCGCCCCCGTCATTGGCTTAAAATGTGTTCTAGCCTTGGCGTTCAAAAAGAACACCACTGACTTTGTGGACGAAGTAAGAGCCATCATCCCCAGAGTCCCCAGTTTAAGTGTACCATGGCTTCAAGACAGAATTGAAGATTCTGGGGAAAATTTAGAGACTGAACCTCTGGAAAGCCAAGACAGAGAGCTTTTGGACACTTCATTTGAAGATCTGTCAAAACCTAAGAGAAAGCTTGCTGACGGTCGGCAGGCTTCTGTAACATTACAACCCCTTAAAATAAAGAAACTGATTCCAAACCCTAATAAGATAAGGAAACCACCCAAAAGTAAAAAAGCTACTCCAAAGTAATCTTGCATAAACTTGTCATGTCATACAGTTTGTGAAAGGACACCTTGTAAAGAAGCCTTGAAACTAATAAAATGAGTTATACTTACATAGATTCATAGGGTCCTGTTTGGTAATATTCAAATGTGTAAGACTCTTTGTAACTATGGCACAGATATACTAAGTGCAGGAAATATTCAAAATTAGGAATAGCCAAACAGACATTTATTGAAACTAGTGTTCATGCGTGTGTAAATTGACTTTTTCTTTTTCTTTTTTTTTTTTTTGAGACAGTTTCACTCTTGTTGTCCAGGCTGGAGTGCAATGGTGCGGTCTCAGCTCACTGCAACCTCCTCCTCACGGGTTCAAGCAATTCTCCTGCCTCAGCTTCCCAAGTATCTGGGACTACAGGTGCGCACCACCATGCCTAGCTAAGTTTTGTATTTTTAGTAGACACGGGGTTTTACCATGTTGGCCAGGATGGTTTCCGTCTCTTGACCTCGTGATTTGCCCACGTCAGCCTCCCAAAGTGCTAGGATTACAGCTGCGAGCCACCGTGCCTGGCCTTTTTTTTTTTTTTTTTGAGACAGAGTTTCGTTCTGTCGCCAAGGCAGGAGTGCAGCGGCGCAATCTCGGCTCACTGCACCCTCCACCACCCAGATTCAACGATTCTCCTGTCTCAGCCGCCTGAGTAGCTGGGATTGCAGGTGCCCACCACCACACCCAGCTCATTTTTTTGTATTTTTAGTAGAGATGGGGTTTCACCATGTTGGTCAGGCTGGTCTCGAACTGACCTCGTGATCCACCTGCCTTGTCCTCCCAAAGTGCTGAGATGACAGACGTGAGCAGCCGCGTCCAGCCTAAATTGACTTTTTCAAAGGCTGGTAGAGTGCCTGTGAGCAAGAATATCTGTGTCATACAACGCTTAGCATTTTCCTATCAAACCTGGAAAATGTACCACAGTAAATGTTCTAGTCAGTCAGGTAGATGGAACTGAATTGGGGAAGCATTATCAGTTTTAAAGGAAAGATCCCAAATGCCAAGCAATCCATTGTCTTCAGAAGCAACACATCATTTTTCACTTCATGTCAATTTGACTTTTAGGAAGGAATAGACATGAGCTTGGGAGAAAGACTTAATATTTAGAGAAAAAATATCAAAAATATAGAAAAAGTCAGATAAGGTTATTTTGACTGGGTACAGTTCACCCCCATTACGTGATTCACTTACCTCCTTGGAAATCTAACGTATAAAAGGTATGATGGTAATTGGATGAAATGTGGCCAAAAGATTAAAAAAACTGAGGAGCTTGGGTTCTCAGAGGTGGGTGTGTGACAAGAGTCCTTCAGGTTAGGAGATGGAGCATAACCGATGCTCTGTTAGAGTGTCTGCTGTTTACAGTGTGTATGGAAAAGTTACTTTCTGTAATTTAGAAGGAAGGTATTTACTAAAGATTTTTCCAGCTGAAAGTCTGGCTGACTCATGGATTATGCCATCTCTCGATTTAAATTTTACTTAGTGCCATCTTGGCCAAAAAGAAGAAAAAAAGATACCTTATTGAATAGAACATTTTCATTATAGACAAAGTACAGTACAATGCAGTTTTAAATCTACAAGAAACTATCCATTGCATTTCAATTTAGTTTTAATAGCTACTTCATAAGCAAGCAGTTTAATTCTCGAAAATGTTAATTAGTAATCTGCTTCAATTATGGAGGCAAATGTAGTTATTATTCTATTTAAAAGTGGTTAATAATTTGATAACAAATTATGTAAATGACTCTTTAAAGGAGCAGTGTAACTGTCACCGTGAGGTAAGCTCATGACAAAGTTTCCAACTGGCAATGCTGCAGTTATTTATTTTACTTTCGAGATAGAGTCTCACTCTGTTGCCCAGGCTGGAGTGCAGTGGTGTGATCCCGGCTCACTGCAACCCCGCCTCCTGGGTTCAAGCGATTCTCCTGCCTCAGCCTCCTGAATAGCTGGGATTACAGGTGCACACCCCCATGTCCGGCTAGTTTTTGTAATTTTAGTAGAGATAGGGCTTCACCATGTTGGCCAGGCTGGTCTCAAGACTCCTGACCTCAAGTGATCTGCTCACCTTGGCCTCCCAAAGTGCAGGGATTACAGGTGTGAGCCACCGTGCCTGGCTGATTCTGCAATTATTTGAAAACCTACTTTGTATAGACTTTGTGGCATGAAAATGAGTGGGAAGTAAAGTCCTAAATTAGAGCCTTGACTCCAGGTTAAGTCAAAATCTCATTTACTTAATGCTGGTATCTCAAACCCTGTTCCAGTGAATGAGGACTGTTTTGTTTCTTGAAGCCTTTCTCCTGTTAAGAAAGAACGCTAATGCAATTAGGGTGGAACCATCTGAAATTCCAAGTCTTCCATTATCTCCAAGAGAGGTCCTATATTATGTACTACTGTGGGGCCCAGTCGCCCTCTGGTGGTAGTCTCAGGGATGTCACAGCTGTGGGTTGGTCTTTAGAATCACGGCAACCTATAGAAAGGAGAGTTCCAACTCCTTCGTAGTGACCAAGGTCAACAAACTTTCTGTAAAAGACCAGAGAGTGAATATCTTAGGCTTTGCAGGCCACACAATCTGTCACAACAACTCAACTCAGCTTTGTAGTGTGAAGCAGCCATAGGCAATATGTAAATGAAAGTGGCTGTGGCCAAGAGTGGTGGCTCATGTCTATAATCCCAGTACTTTGGGAGGCCAAGGCAGAAGGATCACTTGAGGCCAGGAGTTAAAGACCAGCACGGGAAACATAGCAAGACCTTGTCTCTACAAAAAATGAAAAACTTAGCCAGGCGTGGTGGTATGCACGCCCAGCTAGTTCTTTTTCTTCAAAAAGACGCTGAAGCAGGAGGATCATTTTAACCCAGGAGTTTGGGGCTGCAGTGAGCTGTTGACTGTGCCACTGTATTCTAGCCTGGACAATAGAGTGAGACCCTGTCCTAAAAAAAAAAAAAAAAAAAGTATGGCTATGTTCCAATAAAACCTTATTGAGGGACACCGGAATTTGAATTTTGTGTAATTTGCACATGTCACAAAATGATGTCATTTTTTGGCTTTTTCTCCTCAACCATTCCAGAAAATAAAAACATTCTTAGCCTGTGGGCTACACAAAAATAAGCAATGGGCTGGATTTAGCCCACAGGCCATAGTTTGGTGGCCCCTGCCTGGGATAAGATATGATTGGTTTCACTGGACTCATAACTTGAAGGAAATGCCATCATGTCTAAAACAATTAACTTCTGCACTGAACTTCCTAGGCACTGGCCCAGTAAAAGCAGGGAAAAGTATCTACTTTTGTTTTTTGAGACGGAGTCTTGCACTGTCACCCAGGCTGGAGTGCAGTGGCACGATCTTGGCTCACTGCAACTTCCGCCTCCTGGGTTCAAGTGATTCTCCTGCCTCAGCCTCCTAGCAGCTGGGATTACAGGCACCCGCCACCACACCCAGCTAGTTCTTTTTGAATTTTTAGTAGAGATGGGGTTTCACCATGTTGGCCAGGCTGGTCTCGAACCCCTGACCTCAAATGTTTCGCCCGCCTTGGCCTCCCAAAGTGCTGGGATTACAGGCGTGAGCCACCACACCCAGCCAAGGCATCTACTTTGTGGTATCTGAGTTGAGGCCAGGCTACGTGGCCTCGGTTAGCATCTTATTTTTCCCGCAGATTATTGGCAATATAAACACACATCTGTAAGCCATGAAAGTTTTTCAAATTCTAGATTAAAAACACCATCAGTAACAAAATTATGAATACTTATTTACAAATAAGACATTTTCCATTAGCATGACACATGACAGTTTTCATGATAAAATCAGCATAGAGGAGTATGTGCAATTTTGCATAAGTAATAAAAACATTCAAACTATCAATGCCCTGATAGCACGAATAAGTTCCACCAGGCATCTCTTTTGACTTTACAGTTTTTTATTTCCTTTTCTTCATATATCCTTGATGTTGCTGAGAAGAAACTGAACTTTGCACAACAGCAGAAAAGTCTAGTTAGTCGCGGGTACAGGCTCTTTCTTTTTTTTTTTTTTTGAGACGGAGTCTCACGCTCTGTCACCCAGGCTGGAGTGCAGTGGCTCGATCTCGGCTCACTGCAACCTCACCTCTCAGGTTCAAGCGATTCTCCTGCCTCAGCCTCCCAAGCAGCTGGGACTACAGGCACACGCCACCACGCCCGGCTAATTTTTGTATTTTTAGTAGAGATGGGGTTTCACTATGTTGGCCAGAATGGTCTCGATCTCCTGACCTCATGATCTGCCCACCTTGGCCTCCCAAAGTGCTGGGATTACAGGCGTGAGCCACCACGCCCGGCCTCAGGCTCTTTCAGAGAGCACAGTGAGTGCTTGCACAAAACTCTGCTTTTGAAGCAATCCACTGACCTGGTAAAGATCAAAGTACAAACTTGCATGTTTATTGATTCGGCAACTCTGCTTATGGAGAAATACATGTACTAGTCACCAGTACATTTTAATATTGCTCTGCACTTAAACAACCACCACCTGTCACTGAGCTACAGAAGTGTTGATTCCATAAATGTTCCCAGTGATACCATGTAAGGTGATACCAGTAAAAAAAATTTCCAAATGGATCTTTTGTTCTGTTACATGGACAAATGTACCATCACTTAAGAAACAGAAATGCAGCAATTTCTCTCCACACAATAGCAAAGATTTTCTTACATGACTCTGTAACTTCTACTTAGTCCATAGAAAAACAGTCCCTTTTCTAAGGGTGAAAAAATACCTCTTCAAGAGACAGGCAAAAATTTGAAAATTACAAGAATGTGCTCTTTGTAGCCTTTCATCCCTCCCACAAATAGGTCAACAGTAAAAAAAGGATGAAGTTTAACATTCTAGCTAGAAACGTACAAATGTCACATGTGGACTTTTGTCATCTTTTCTGATTATCGACTACTTCAATTTCACTTGAGTTGTGCTTTTATTCTTCTTTGGAATGGCAGTTCCAGAAATCATTAAATATTAACAAATGATGATGTCAGAGTTCTAGAAATAAAAATATCCATCTATTGTAGTACTAGTCCAACCTGAAGGGAGGGAAGAAATGGAATAGTAAGAAAAATTAGATTGCAATGTAGTACAATAGATCTGTCTTTCTAAAAGCTGTCTTAAGGCTCAGCTCACACCTGTAATCCCGGCACTTTGGGAGGCCAAGGCAGGCGGATCACCTGAGGTCAGGAGTTTGAGACCAGCCTGGCCAACATGGTCAAACCCCATCTCTACTAAAAATGAAAAAATTAGCCAGGCATGGTGGTGGATGTAATCCCAGCTACTCGGGAGGCTGAGGCAGGAGAATCACTTGAACCTGGGAGGCGGAGGTTGCAGTGAGCTGAGATCATGCCATTGCACTCCAGCCTGGGGGACAGAGCGAGACTTCATCTCAAAAAAATAAATAAATAAATAAATAAAATGAACAAAAATAAAATAAAGCTGTCTTAAGTCTAAGTGAAGCAAGTATGAAATTGTCTAGGTACATTTGTTGAGTTTACAAGGGCTATATCCATTTCACTTACCTTTTCAGAATCTGTACCTGGACACCTCCAATTGTACAGGTAATACTGCAAATTGCCATCTCCTATACCAAACTTGAGTTTTTCCAAGAATGTCTTATTTTCCATCAAATCCAGTGCATTGAATACATCAAATCCTTTCTGCCAATTTAAAAAAGATTTAAAATTTAAAACAAAGGACTAGTGTTTTCTGTATTACATATCTCAGTTTAACAATTCTACTAATAGCTCGAATATGCATTTCTAATAGGATTTAACGTCCGTGATATATAGCATAGGTTAAGAATTCAGGGCCGGATGCTGTGGCTCATGCCTATAATCCCAGCACTTTGGTAGGCTGAGGTGGGTGGATCACTTGAGGTCAGGAGTTCGAGACCAGCCTGACCAACATGGCGAAACCCCATCTCTACTAAAAATAACAAAAATAAGCCAGATGTGGTGGCGCACACCTGCAGTCCCAGCTACTCAGGAGGCTGAGGCAGGAGAACTGCTTGAGCCTGGGAGGTAGAGGTGGCAGTGAGCCGAGATTGTGCCACGGCACTCCAGCCTGAGCGACAGAGTGAGACTTTTTTTTTTTCTTTCTTTAAAAAGAGGAAGAATTCAGTTGAAAATTGTCTTATAAAACTAGCAGTGTGGCTGGATGTGGTGGCTCACGCCTGTAATCCCAGCACTTTGGGAGGCCAAGGTGGGAGGCTCACTGGAGCCCAGGAATTTGAAACCAGCCTGGGCATAGGCTGTAGGTATAGGTGTAGGTGTAGGTACAGGACATTGTCTCTACAAAAATAAAAAGATTGACTCGGCATGGTGGTGTGTGCCTGTGGACCCAGCTACACAGGAGGCTGAGGCAGGATTGCATAAGCCGAAGAGGTCGAGGCTGCAGTGAGCTGTGATTGTGCCAGTGCACTTAAACCTGAGCAACAGAGTGAGCGCCTGTCTCAAAAAACAAACAAACTATAGTGAATCCAATGAAGTCAGCATGAAAATTCAGAAACGCTGAATCCCAAAAATGTTAAAAATGTAGTATGATGGCTGTCACTGGCATAAAATTACTTATGAAGATTTCAGAAAATATTTTATTTATGTTTTATTTATTTATTTTTAAATTTTTTTGAGATGGAGTCTCACTCTGTCATCCAGGCTGGAATACAGTGGCATGATGTCGGCTCACTGCAACCTCCACCTCCCAGATTTAAGCAATTCTCCTGCCTCAAACTTCCTAGTAGCTGGCATTACAGGTGTGCACCTCCATGCCCAGCTAATTTCTTTGTATTTTTAGTAGAGACCGGGTTTCACCGTGTTGGCCAGGCTGGTCTTGAACTCCGACCTCAAGTGATCCACCTGCCTTGGCCTTCCAAAGTGCTGGGATTACAGGCATGAGCCACTGCACCCAGCCTCGTTCTTGTTTTAGAAGGGAACAGTTGTCAAGATGGTTTCATCTCCAGGATTATTAATTATTAGCCTTTCTAAGTCCTACCTTGGCTGAAGCTATTGCCCAGGGACCAAAGTTGTAAAGACTTTAAATAGTATGCAGGCCGGGCGTGGTGGCTCACGCCTGTAATCCCCGCACTTTGGGAGGCCGCAGCAGGTGGATCACCTGAGGTCAGGAGTTCGAGACCAGCCGGGTCAATATGATGAAACCCTGTCTCTACTAAAAATACAAAAATTAGCCAGGTGTGGTGGCACACACCTATAGTCCCAGCTACTCTGGAGGCTGAGACAAGAGAATCACTTGAACATGGGAAGCAGAGGTTGCAGTGAGCCGAGACTGTGCCACTGCACTCCAGCCTGGGTAACACAGCAAGACTCATCTCAAAAAAAAAAAAAAAAAAAAAAGTATAAAAAAATAGTATGTTTGCTTTGGGCTGATAATGGGAAATATATTTATGTAAAATTTTAATGGTAAAAAATTAAATTTCTTTAAAATGTCAGACAATAATACTATGCAAAATGTGATATAGAAGAAGCACTTTTTATTTTTATTTCTCAGGGTTTTTACCTTAAATAACTAATTACTGGCCATATTTGGGAAGTGTTGAAAAAAAGCAGACAATCTGAGGATGATGTTGACTTGGGGATCCAAAGGCACAGGTAAGAGATTTTTATTTTATTTTATTTTAATTAATTAATTAATTTGAGACAGGGTCTCACTCTGTGGCCCAGGCTGGAATGCAATGGTGCAATCTCGGCTCACTGCAACCGCCAACTCCCAGGTTCAAGTAATCCTCTTGCCTCAGCCTCCCGAGTAGCTGGGATTACAGGTGTGTGCTATCACACCCTGCTAATTTTTGTATTTTTAGTAGAGACAGGGTTTCACCATGTAGACTGGCTACAATTAAATTTTGAATTTCATTCCTTTAATTTTAAAATTCAGAGACTATTTGGTTGAATAAAAAAATTGCTGCTAGTTATTCACTCAACAAAAATATTCACTCATGTATTAATATTTTCCTTATATTACTTCCTAAGATATGGGCTTTATATATATATATATATATATATATATATATATATATATATATTTTTTTTTTTTTTTTTTTTTTTTTTTTTTTTTTTGAGACAGTTTCTGTCACCCAGGCTGGAGTGCAGTGGTGCAATCTCAGCTCCATTGCAACCTCTGCCTCCCAGGTTCAAGCAATTCTCCTGCCTCAGCCTCCCGAGTAGCTGGGATTACAGGCACACACCACGAAGCCTGGCTAACTTTTGTATTTTTAGTAGAGACGAGGTTTCACCATATTAACCAGGCTGGTCTTAAACTCCTAACCTCAGGTGATCCACCCATCTCGGCCTCCCAAAGTGTTGGGATTACAAGCCTGAGCCACCATGCCCAGCCTTATATATTCTTATATAAGGATTAAACATTTATAATTTGTACATTTTGTCTTTTTTGTTAAACTGCCATAAAATTAATGATGAAAATAGCCTCTAAAGTTTCAAAAGAAACTCTTATCAAAATTCTTCCTTTGACTGATGATCAATAGTTTTTTTAAAGTCTCGCATAAATTCCACCTGTGTGGAAGAAAACACAGTAAGATGTCTTCTATAGTTTGGCACAGACATTTGGAGAACCAAACGGCGTGAACAGGAAGGAGTGGCTTACCGATTTAGCCAGGATGAGCGCGTCGCTCATGAGGTCCAGCAGGGGCGTCTCTGTGTGGATGTTGTAGAATGAGTAGGCGGCTTTGAGGCTCTTGTGAGCAGGGTGGTGCATCACCGTGGAGGGGAGCGTATAGAAGCTCAGGAAATCAGTCAGTTTACCGTTGGGGCTCTAGGAGCAAAAGTGCTGTCAGACAGAGATCTCCTTGAACCAACTGCATACGTGCATTTCCACTAACTCTGTTCTCTCCCTTGCCCCAGAGAACGAAAAGCAGTAAGTCACACTTCTTTCTCGGCAGTCCAATTTGGGGCCCCTTATATTGTGCTGTGTAGAGGCCAAGAAGGGCCTGGAGTTGGGACTTCAGCCTAAGTGCCCATTGGTGATTTGCACAAAGTTCTTAGGAAGCAGAATGTCATGCCTGTAATCCCAGCACTTTGGGAGGATGAGGCGTGTGGATCATGAGGTCAGGAGTTCGAGACCAGCCTGACCAACATGGTGAAACCCCATCTCTACTAAAGATATGAAAACTTAGCCAGGTGTGGTGGCGCACACCTGTAATCCCAGCTACTTGGGAGGCTGAGGCTGGAGAATCGCTTGAACCCCAGAGGCGGAGGTTGCAGTGAGCCAAGATTGTGTCACTGCACTCCAGCCTGGGCGACAGGATGAGACTCAAAAAAAAAAAAAAAAAAAAAAAAAAGAAAGAAAGATAGAAGCAGAATGTCCTAAAAGGAAAGCTTCCCTCAGGCTGACAAATGAGTCAATTCTTTAGACTAAGGGAACAGTGATAAAAGCAGATTCATTGTTTTTGCAGAAATAAAAGCTTTAAGGATTAGAGGGCTGCCTTCTCCAACTAAAAGATACTGTGTACTATCTCACACTGTCTTAGCACACAGAAAGAATTATATCAGGCCTAAGTAAGGTTGGGTAGAGTCTGGAAGCTGTTTGGAAGAGTTCGCAAGCTTGTGAAAGGTCTTACTACTGCACCAAAATATACACATGTGAACAACTGGAGAATTTTGCAGCTATCAAAAATAAGGGATACAATGGATGACATTCATTTCATCATCACTGGCAAAGCTTCCAATACAAGAAATTAGCCAGTATTGTTCGGGTTGTTGTAATTAGCTGTGGTGGCCTTGCTGACTTTTAGAATATGATGTGTTTGAATCGTGCGGCTGAAGAGGCTGGACCACACACATGCCACTGCTAGTATTTCTTTCAGCAGAAAAGGAAATTCCAGAAGGATGTATGCTTTGGTTTTCAAAGGCTTCCGAGTCATTAGACCTTTCTTCAGCCAGCAAGAAACTAAAGGGGTTAATCTACAGTGATTCCCTACTGCTCTATATTAGCAGCTCAGTATTGGAGATGAATTCAACCTTCAGGTTTAATAAGGATTTTAGATTCTTCTAAGAATTTCTCATATCCATCTCATACGCTGAATTACTGCAGGCACCTGCAGAACCTGATTAGGTTCCCCACCCCATTTTCATCATCTGCTTTCAGAAAACTACTTCTTCACATTCATATTGCTGGTAAAATTACTGTTTCCTCTCTTGCTGTTAAAATGACCAGAGAATCACCAACTGTTGGGGAAGAGTGGGATGATCTTTCCATTGTCCCTCACACCCAATCAATTGTAAAGACTGATAAAAAACAAAACAAAACAAAACAAAACAAAAAAACCCCGCTCACAACAAAACCCACCATGGCACCATGTCTAGATGGCTTATAAGCAACTTCTAACAACTTTCAAGGAACAAGTAATCCCTATTATTACATACACTGTTCCAGAGAAAAGAGAGGACAAGCTCTTCAGCTCATTCTAACTTTGGTATCAAGACAGGACAAGGACAGGGTAAGAAGGGGAAATTAATGGCCAACCTCAGTAGTGAGTATAGAAGATCCTAAGTAAAATATTAGCAAACTAGGGCTGGGCATGGTGGCTCATGCCTGTAATCTCAGCACTTGGGGAGGCCAAAGTGGGTGGATTTTCTGAGCTCAGAAGTTCGAGACCAGCCTGGCCAACGTGGTGAAACCCCGTCTCTACTAAAATACAAAACATTAGCAGGGTGTGGTGGCATGCGCCTGTAGTTCCAGCTACACAGGAGGCTGAGCACAAGAATTGCTTGAACCCAAGAGGCGGAGGTTGCAGTGAGCAGAGATTGCACCATTGTACTCCAGCCTGGGTGACAGAGCAAGACACTGTCTCCAAAAAAAATTAAAAAAAAAAATTGGGAAACTAAATCTAAAAACAGAGGTAGTCTCACACAAATGGAAACCAAAAGAATGTGTCACTAGCAGACATACCCTGAGACTGGCTAAAGGAATTTCTTCAAATAGAAAGGAAATAATAAAAGAAGGAATCTTGAAGCATCAGGAAGGAGGGAAGAATAATAGAGTAGAAATTTGGGCTACATATAATAAATTATGCTTCTCCTCAAGCATCATTATTAATCAGTGTTACAAATCATACTTGATGATTAAAACAAAAATCATAATACTGTCTGATATTTAAGACAACAATATTTAAAAATGAAAAAGGTAAAGTGACCTAAATAAAAGTAAGGTGACTCAAAGTAATAAATGTTGTTACCAATCGACTATAAGTCACATATATATATTGTAATACTCACATCAACCATCATAAAAACTATACAAATACACCCAAAGGTACTATAAATAAAACAGTATCCTAAAATATATTCAAGTAATCCACAGCAAGGCAAGAAAAAAGAAACAGAGGAACAAGAACCAGAAGAAACATAAAGAAACCAAATAATCAAATGGTAGACTTAAGCTCTACCATACCAATAATCACCTTTTATGTAAGTGGTCTAAATACACCAATCAAAAGAAACATCAGTAGTGTGGGTAAAGAAACATGACCCAGCTATAGGCTGTTTCCAAGAAACTCACTTCAAATTCAATAACATCAATAGTTTGAAAGTAAAAGGATGGAAAAAGTCCAAACAATTTTTAAAAGCAGGTCTGGTCACAGTAATATACAATAAAGTATACTCCAGAGCAAGGAAAATTATTAGAAAGAGAGGTATTACATTATGATAAAAAGATCAATCCACTAGGGAGACACAAAGACCCTAATATACATGTGAGTATCAAACAAGAGGCCCAGAAGAAATCAAGAAAAACTGACAGTGTTGGAAGGAGAAATAGACAAATCCACAATTACAGCTGGGGACTTCCATGCCCCTCTCATCAAGTGATAGAACTGCTAGACAGAAAATCAGCATGGAAACAGAAGAGCTGAATAACTCAATTAATCAACATGATGCAATTGCCATACAAAGAACACTCCACACAACCGTAGTGGTATACACGTTTCATGCACCCATGGAATATCCATCAAGACAGTCCATATCCCGAGTAATAAAACAAACCTCAAGAGCCTTAAAATAATCAAAACCATACAGTGTGTGTTCTTTAACCATAATTGAATCAAACTAGAAATCTGTAATAGGGAGACAACAGAAAATCTCTAAACACAGCAAAATTGAACAGCACAATTCTAAGTAGGGGTGGGCTAAAGAGGAAGCCTCAAACGAAACCAAAAAATACATAGACGTGAATGACAACGAAGATACAACATACCAAAATACGTCAGAAATAGCTAAAGCAGTGCAGAGAGGGAAACTGATAGAACTAAATGCTTACTAGTAACAGGGAAAGGTCTCAAGTCAGTAAGTTCTTCCCTCAAGGAACTAGAAAAGAAGAGCAAAATAAACCCAAAGCAAGCAGACAGAAGGAAACAATAAACACGAGGGTAGAAATCAATGACACTGAAAACAGGAAGACAACAGGGAATATCCAACAAAAGTCTGGTTCTCTGGGAAACAAATCAATAAAATGATACAAGTCTACCAATATGGACAAAAACAAAGAAAGAGAAGACACGAATCACCAATATCTGGTATGAAAGAAGAGATATCAGTACAGATCCCACAGCCACTAAAAGGATAACAAGGGAATAAAATGAACATTAATTACACTCATACATTCAACAATTTAGAAGAAATGGATGAACTCCTCAAAAACTATTAAAACTCAACCAAGATGAAACAGATCATCTGAATAGTGCTATAACCATTAAAGACATTTAGTCCATTATTTAAAAACTCCCAAAAAAGAAACAGCTAAGCTCAGATCATTTCAACTGGAGAATTCTAACAAACATTTAAAGAATTAACACCAATTCTCAATTTCTTCTAGAAAATAGAAGAGGAAATAATACTTCCCAACTCCTATTATGAGACCAGTATTATCTTGATATCTAAACCAGACAGACATTACAAAAAAGGCACTCCAGAGAGATATCTCTCATGAACTCAACAAATACTCAGCAAAATATTAGCAATCAATACAACAATGTATAAAAATAATTATACACCCTGACCAAGTGGATATTTTCTAGGAATGTAAGAGTGACCCAACATTTGAAAACCAATCAATGTAATCTAACATATCAACAGATTAAAGGAGAAAAATCATATGATTACATCTATTGAAGCAGAAGCAGCACTGGAAAAAATCCAATGCCCATTCATAAGAACTCTCAGCAAGTTAGAAATAGAGGAGAATGACCTCAAATTGATTAGGAGCACCCACAGAAAAACCTACAGCTAACATCATACTTCATGGTGAAAGAGTAAATGCTTTTCTCCCACCATCAAGAACACGACGAGGATGACAACCTTCCCCACTCTTTCTCAACAAAGCACTGGAAGATCTAGGTCCTGCATTAATGCAAGACCAATAAATAAAGGCATCGAGATTGGAAAGGAAGCAATAAAGCTGTCCCTATTTGCAGATGACACATTGTCTATGTAGAAATCACAAGGAATCTACACACAAACTCCTGGAACCAGTAAGTGATTTCAGCACTGTGGTAGGATACAAACACACAAAAGAAAGCATTTCTACAGGCTAACAATGAACATGCAGAAACTGAAATTAAAAACACAACACCATTATAATCGCCCCAAAGAAAGTGAAATATCTAGCTATACACTTAAGAAAACATGTACAGGATCTGGATGCTCTTAGAGAATGCTGATAAAAGAGATTTTAAAAGACCGAAATAAATGTAGAGACATTCCATGTTCATGGACTGGAAGACTTTTCAATTATCCTCAAATTAATCTATCAGTGTAATGTAATCCCTATCAAACTACCAGCAAGGTATTTTGTAGGCAAAAATAAGCTTATTCTAAAATGTATATGCAAAAGGCAAAGGAAATAGGTTAATTAAAATGATCTTGACAAACAAGAATAAAGTGGGAGGAATTACTCTACCTGATACTAAGGCTTCCTATATCGCTATAGCAACGAGGTCAGTGTGGTATTAGTGAAAAGACAGACATGGAGATCAACGAAATAGAATATAGAGGACCCAGAAAGGAACGCAATACAAAGTGTTAGTATTCAGCATATAAAAAACCTTTCACGGGCTGGGCACAGTGGCTCACACCTATAATTCCAGCACTTTGGGAGGCCAAGGCAGGTGAATCACCTGAGGTCAGGAGTTCAAGACCAAGCCTGACCAACATGGTGAAACCCCGACTCTACTAAAAATACAAAAATTAGCCGGGCATGGTGGCGCACGCCTGTAATCCCAGCTACTCGGGAGGCGGAGGCAGGAGAATAGCTTGAACCTGGGAGGTGGAGTTTGCAGTGAGCCGAGATTGTGCCACTGCACTCCAGCCTGGGCAACAAGAGCAAAATTCCATCTCAAAACAAACAAACAAAAAACCTTTCATAAATCAGTAAGACAACTACGGTCAAAAAAAAAAAACAGGCAAGTGATGTAAATAGCAAGTTTATAAAAGAAATAAACATGGCTAACAGATTGATGAGATACTCAAATTCATCAACAATGAGGATATAAATTAACAAGATACTGTTCCATACTCATCAGGTGGGCCTAAATAAATTTAAAATCTGACCATACCCACGTCTTGTGAGGATGCAAGGAAACAGGAACTCTCTTACACTGCTCAGGACCTTATTGTGGTGAGCTATTTGGCAATTTCTAAAAATGTGAAAGATGGGTCCAACCACAGACTCAGCAGCTCTAATGATATGCCCTGGAAAGCAGTTCCCAAAATGTGGTCTGTGAACCCTGTGGGTACCTGAGACCCTTTCAGAAATCTGTGAGGTCAAAATGATTTTCATAACACTAAGAAGTTGTTTGCCTTGTTGACAAGTTACCATCAGCATCAACGGTGCAAAGCAGTGCTGTGGGTAAAGCTGCTGGTGCCTTAGCACAAAACAAGACAATGGCACCAGACCACACTCATGGTTACCATATTCCTCAACACCACACCCTCATGGTTCAACAAATGGCAGTTTCACTTAAGCATGTCCTTGATAGAGTATTCAGAATTATTAATCTTATTAACTCTCTACCCTTTAGTACACATCTTTGTAATGTTCTGTGATGAAATAGAAGGAAGTGTGTGTAAATAATTCTGCTGCACGCTGAACACAAAGGGTGCTTCAAGGAGAAGCTTTATGTTTATCACCTTGTCTTTACCTCCACTACAAACGTGTCAATAATGTGCTCCCGGGGGAGGAACCAGTGGGCTACTTCCTCTTCATCCATCACTGGAGCCAGATGAAACTGCTTCAGGTAAGTGTTGATTAATTCTCGAACTGATTTGATATCTTTTGGTTCCATTGGTCTCAAACCTGAAGTCTTTGTAACCTTGTTGGAGGGGAAACAAAACAAATCCAGAAGTTCAGGTAGAAGAGGAGTGAAACGACTTTGCACTCAAAGTGTGGTCTGCAGACCAGCAGAATGAGCAGCACGCGGGAGCTAGTTAGAGCTGCAGAGCCTGGCCCTGCCCCAGATCTAATGAATCCGAATCTGCAACTCAACAAGATTTCCTTGGGTTTGTACATACATTAAGGTTTGAGAAGAGCTGGGTTAAAATATAGGCGAGACAGACAATGTGTTGTATCTTCCTATCTGTGCGGCAAGTCTTTGGTCACTACTGCCCATGACCCAAACAAACATCAAAGGGAACAGTACAAGTTCATGATGTACGCCAATACCCAAAACACACCAATGTATATACCAATGCCAAGAATGTTAACAGTCTACATGATGGGACATAGCCAACTTAGCATGACTTCTGGAGTACAGGCAGCCCTCCGTATCCACTGGTTGTGCATCTGTGGGTTCGACCAACCTTAGACGAAAAATATTCGGGGAAAAAAAACTGGATCGTTGCATCTGTGCTGATCATGTACGGACTTTTTTTCTTGTCATTATTTCTTAAAAATGCAGTGTAACAACTACTTACATAGCATTTAGATTGTATTTGACCTTATAAGTAATCCAGAGATGATTTAAAGTATACAGGACAGGGGGCATGGTGGCTCATGCCTGTAATCCCAGCACTTTGGGAGGCTGATGCCGGTGGATCATTTGAGGTCAGAAGTTCGAGACCAGCCTGGCCAACATGATGAAACCCTGTCTCTACGAAAAATGTAAAACTTAGCCAGGCGTGGTGACATGCACCTGTAATCCCAGCTACTCGGGAGGCTGAGGCAGGAGAATCGTTTGAAACTGGGAGGCGAAGGTTGCAGTGAACCATGATCACGCCACTGCACTCAAGCCTGGGAGACAGGGAGGGACTTCGTCTCAAAAATAAATAAATAAAGTATACAGGAGGATGTGCATACATTATATGCAAATACACAATGCTACGCCATCTTATATAAGGGACTTGAGCACCCAAGGATTCTGGTATCTGAGGGGTCCTAGAACCAATCCTTCATGGTTTCTGAGGGATGCTTTAAAACTGCCAAGTCTGACATTTTGAAAATACAACTGAGCAACTTGTTTTATTATGCAATAGCCCATTAAAAGCGTGTGGTGATTTTGTTCTCTTGAACAAAAATGATATAGGAGTGAATCATATCAGGCTGGATGGGAAGGCAAGCATTGTTCATAGCCAAGTATTTTCTAAAGGCAAACGGGTTTACAGCCATACCAGCCTGAAAGTGTCCATCTTGTCTAACGGCAAATGGCTGCCAGGGACGCGGCCTGGCCTCTCCTGCCACATCTTCTGGGTAAAGGTGATCAGGGTAGGTGTCTTATCACTACTCCAGAGCTTTAGAATTTAAAAAATTAAGCCATAGGAATAAAACACCTAAAAGTCAGGACAGGTCCCCATTTGAATTTGTTCAGCTGTTGTCCTTGTAAAAGCTCCTGACATCACTTTGCTCTCTAGAACTGTTCAGGGGCCAGGGGACTTGAGACTAAAAGTCAGGAAGCCCAACAAACAGACAATTTTAAACTGAGAAATACAGTTTATTTTTTTCTGTAAACCTGATTTTTCCCCCCCTTGGAGAAACACTAGATACATTTTAAGAGATGAATAATCTGTATATAAATATTGCTACTCTACTTTTTCTGCCCTAAATGATTATTTTTAAAAATTTTATATAATCTAGCAGTTCCACTCTTAAGAAATATTGTTAAAGGAAAAACTTCCTGTAGAATGAGGTCATCACAATTCCTGCATGCCCCCAGGTGGAAGCCCAAGGGGGAAAACAGGTGTTTTTTTTGAGACGGAGTCTCACTCTTGTCACCCAGGCTGGAGTGCAATGGTGCGATCTCGGTTCACTGCAACGTCTGCCTCCTGGGTTCAATCGATTCTCTTGCCTCAGGCTCCCGAGTAACTGGGATTACAGGCACCTGCCACCACGCCCGGCTAATTTTGTGTTTTTAGTAGAGACAGGGTTTCACCACGTTGGCCAGGCTGGTCTCGAATGCCTGACCTCAGGTGATCTGCCCACCTCGGCCTCCCAAAGTGCTGGGATTACAGGTGTGAGCCACCACACTAGGCCAAGGAAAATAGGTTTTCTCTTGAGTGCCAGCTGTCATCAACTATTAGCTGTGCTGGGGTTTCTAAGCTTCAGTGACACACAGTGCTGATTGATTATCGATTAGCTGGGGGAAAGGGGAATGGGAGGTGCATGCTCTGTATTTATACACCAACAGTCCTCAGCTGAATATTTACTATAAGCCATTCTATTATGATGATGTCATGTCTAAAGCACTTCAGCTAAAATGCCATTTAATAATCTAAATTTAGAGAATTTAAGTCCTTCACATTTAACAGGCAATGCATACCTTTAGTCTTTTAGTACCTCTCAAAACCAATGAGTCAGAAATGTCCAGATCTCCACTGGAAATAAATAAGCACTTCTAAATGCTAGTGGGAAGACCAAAACCATATAAAATATATATCATAGTCATTTAAAAAATTAGTTTCTGCTATGAGGCAGACTTAGCTTGATAAATTTCAAATAGCCTTTCTCAATATCAGAATTTTTTTTCTTTTGTTACTGGTTCAGTAACAATCAACAATATCAAGCAATTAGATGAATTAATGAAAGCCACAGGATATATGATATCTGTTAATAGAGAACATTCAGAAATGAAAAAAAAATTTGCCAACTTCCTTCTAGAGCAAAACATTCTTCTGGAGCACAATTCTCATTCATTGAATATCCAACTGTGAAACCACTAAAGGAACTGCCCAGCAGATCGCCTTAAAGCAGCAGTTCTCAAATATTTTGGTCTTGGGACCCTTTTACACTCTTTTTTTTTTTTGAGATGGAGTCTTACTCTGTCGCCCAGGCTGGAGTGCAGTGGTGTGATCTCAGCTCACTGCAACCTCTGCTTCCCGGGTTCAAGTGATTTGATCCTGCCTCAGCTTCCCAAGTAGCTAGGATTACAAGCACGTGCCACCACGCCCAGCTAATTTTTTGTATTTTTAGTAGAGATGCAGTTTTATCGTACTAGCCAGGATGGTCTCGATCTCCTGACCTTGTGATCTGCCCACCTCGGTCTCCCAAAGTGCTGGGATTACAGGCATGGGCCACTGCACCTGGCCTACGCTGTTAATAATGATTGAGTACCTCCAAAGAGCTTTGCTTATGTGGGTTATGCATATCCACACTTATCGCATTAGAAATCAAAACTGAGAACATTTTTAAACAAAAGACTACAGAAATACACATGCCACATGGCCTCTGGAAGACTTCACAGTATACTCAGACGAGAATGAAAGTGAAAAAATTACATACTAGTGTTATTATGAAAATAGTTAAAAAAAAAAAATGACTGCATAGATTCAAAGATCTTGGGGGACTTCCAGAGGTCCCTGGGCCACACTTTGAGAACTGCTATCTTAGGTCTCTAAAGGTTAGAAAAATAAGTAGCAGAATTTAGACAAGCAATATGTTGCCTAAATTCAGGTAAAAAGTATCATAAGTTTGGCAACTTATAAGCATTTTGAACAAATTTTTATAGAAGCATTAAAGCATAAGAGCACACCAGGATGTACCAGCTATAAAAAACAGAAAGTCCTAGAAAACAGGGTAAGAATATTTACATTTGCTGACTAATAGCTAAAATAATCTGTGTAAGAATGAAATACTGCCAGGCACGGTGGCTCACACCTGTAATCTCAGCACTTTGGGAGGCTGAGGCAGGCGGATCACAAGGTCAAGAGATCGAGACCATCCTGGCCAACATGGACTAAAATACAAAAATTAGCTGGGTGTGGTGGCACGTGGCTGTAGTCCCAGCTACTCAGGAGGCTGAGGCAGGAGAATTGCTTGCATCCAGGAGGCGGGGGTTGCAGTGAGCCAAGATCGCATCACTGCACTCCAGCCTGGCGACAAAGCGAGACTTCGTCTCACAGAAAAAAAAAAAAAAAAAAAAAAAAGAAATAACTTTTGAAAAGCAAAACAAACACTCAAATTATAACTATTGTCCTCAGAAAGAACCAGGAAGGCTATTGGGCTTACATTAAAATGGCTAGCTTCCGTATAATGGAATAGTGAAGCGGTCATGTTTTCTGAGAGTTCAATAAAATGCAGAGAATCATTTCCAGTAAATAAGAAAAATCTCAGTTTCATAAGCAAACTCTGTATCTGAATCAGATATCCTTTCCCATGGCCCAACTAATATGCATGATTCATGGGCCTCTACGTAGATTGAAATCTGTGTAAAATCTGCTTATAAGTACATAAGGAAATGAAGCTCAGAGCTCTATTAAAAAACAGTAGTGTTGTTATCTGTCAAGTTGTGGTACAAACCGTTTGAGAGCCAAGATTCCAGAGAAGAGATGTAAGCAATGATTATGGTTATTTATATGATTCAAAAAGGAGCAAACAGAATGCTAACCACTAAAAAAACCATCTAATGCCACTAAATATAGAACACCTTATATGCCTCGACATGTCTAAGCAAGCACACCCTCCTTGCAGCACAGTGCTAAGACCTTAGTGGATCATTCTCTGACTTCTGCTTTTTATCAACATCAAATTACCTTTCAGCTCATTGACACAGATGCGCAAAATCGAACTTGGAAATACTCAACACCAGATCAAAAAAACAAAACAAAATAAAATCTCCCCAAACACTGAAAGGGTAGGGAGGCATCGTAAGGCGTGTTTCTTGGGGAAACCTTAGTATTTTAGGTAACAGTTGTGAATGGCGCAGGCCCTGCGACAGCTCTGCTTCTGGCCAGCAGACTCTGAGCAAGTCAATCTGTGTTCTCATGGCCCCTTCTGTGCTATGGGGATAAGGACCCATCCTCCTGTGGCTGTTGTGATTAGTAAATGAGACTACGGCTGTTAAATGTCGAGCATAACGCCGGCCACAATAAATGTTAGCTCCTATATTCAAAAGTCCATGAAAAAGACAGAAAGCTGGCACTCCTACAAGCAAAAAGAGTAACAATGAAGCAGAAAATGAGATTGATCTATACAGCAAAAGCTGTATTCCATAAGTTTGCTTTTACGCTGAATGGTACAAAAATGTTCTTAAATAACTTGACTGCTAGCAGTGGTATCACCCATCTGGGCCCATAGGAGAGGAAGGGGCATCCGGTGTATGCAGTTCTGTCCAGTTTAACTCAAGAGGCAGACACCCAAGGGACTGCTGCCAGCACCTTCCAATTTCATAATATCTGTACTTTAATCTCTCTTTTATTCTATTAATTTACTCTTTATTTTCCTTTCCTTTCCTATGACTTAAAAGGGGGAAAGGAGACTGGGGCAAGCCAATGAGAACTGTTTGCATCTTGACAATCGTCCTTTTCTGCCTTGATTTATGCTGTACTCACAGTGAGACATTCAGTGGGGCTGAGCCATGGTGTCCCCATAGTGGGTAATGTTAGAGGGGATGGCAGAGGCAGAGGGAGCTAACAGGGAAACATGGAGGTCTGGGGCCTGCATCCCAAGCCCTCCACTTGGTGATATTAACACATCCTCGCCTAAGTGCCAACTGTCACATACCTCAGTTTCTTCATCTGTAAAATGGGGATAAGAAGTACTAACTTCAAAAGGTTGCTGTGAGAATAAATTGAATAATGTATTTGAAAGCACTTCATAACCTTCAATTTATGGGTGGGGGAAAGGCAGTCACTATCACAGCACGACTGGAACAGGACTGCTACCAGGAACCCAGGTTCACTGGAAGTAAGATGCCACAGTCTGGTTTCATAATACACGCCTATACCCAGGAGAAGATTGACTCTTGTACAAAAATATTAAGGCTGATGAATGGAGTCAAGTCAAAAATAGCTTTAGCACTTTAAGAAAATCATTGTGAGTAAACCAATGGTATGTGCTAAAACTCCTTATTCTTCACTCCATTGTAGGCAACCTACATGTAAGTGTGTCTTTTCCTTGTACATAAGCTAGGCTGCTTGAGGTTCAAGAAACTGAAATTTGGAGAGACCAAAGTGGAACAGCATTTGCCCATAGTGAAAAAAAGAGGCATTTTTGAAGTTTGTATGTATGTATGTATGTATGTACGTATGTATTTAGTTATTTATTTAGTTATTTATGAGATGGAGTCTCGCTCTGTGGCCAGGCTGGAGTGCAATGGCGTGATCTCAGCTCACTGCAACCTGTGCCTCCTAGGTTCAAGCGATTCTCCTGCCTCAGCCTCCCTAGTAGCTGGGACTACAGCCATGTGCCACCATCCACAGCTAATTTTTTAATTTTTAGTAGAGATGGGGTTTCACCATGTTGGCCAGGGTGGCCTCGATCTCTTGACCTTGTGATCTGCCCGCCTTGGCCTCCCAAAGTGCTGGGATTACAGGTGTGAGCCACCGCGCCTGGCCGAAGATTTTATTTCAATTCACACGTCACAACACTTCAAACAAAAGATCCCATCAGTGGCACACAGATTCTAAGATGGCCCCCAGTGATCCCACCTCCTGGGGTTCACAGCTGGTGTGATCTGCTCCTGTTACGTGTGGGCAGGACCTGTGATTTGGTTCTAACCAATAGAAATGGCAATGGCGGCTGGGCGCAGTGGCTCACACCTGTAATCCCAGCACTTTGGGAGGCTGAGGCGGGTGGATCACCTGAGGTCAGGAGTTCGAGACCAGCCTGACTAATATGGTGAAACCCCATCTCTACTAAAAATACAAAAATTAGCTGGGCGTGGTGGTGCACACCTGTAATCCCAGCTACTTGGGAGGCTGAGGCAGGAGAATTGCTTGAACTCAGGAGGCGGAGATTGCAATGAGCTGAGATTGTGCCATTGCACTCCAGCCTGGACAACAGAGCGAGCCTCCATCTTAAAAAAAAAAAAAAAAAGAAATGGCAATGGCGACTGGATGTCACTTTCATGAATCACCTGCATAGGGTTCTGACTTCCATCTTGCCAGCAGATCCTCTCTATAGACTCTCTCTCTCACTGGCTTTGATGAATAAGCTGCCATGCTGTGAGCTACCCTATGGAGAATCCAACATGGCAAAGAACTGAGGCCCTTGGTCCAACAGCCAGTGAGGAACTCAATCCTGCCAACAACTACAGGAGCATGGAAATGGATCCTTCCCTAGTCAAGTTTCAGATGAGACCTCAGCCCTGGCTGACACCTGGGTGGCAACTTCAGGAGAGACCCTGAACAAAGCACAGGACTCAGCTAAGCTGTGACTGGATTTCTGGCCCACAGAAGCTGTGTGATAATAAATGTTGTTTTAAGCAGCTCAGTTTGTGGTCATTTTTTACATGGCCATAGATAACTAATATAGCCAAGCCCCAAATAAAGCCAAGTCTAGAAAGCACATTTATATTTTTCCCTATTAAAAATGATAACTTGGCTGGGCGTGGTGGCTCACACCTGTAATCCCAGGACTTTGGGAGGCCAAGGCAGGCGGATCACAAGGTCAGGAGTTCAAGACCAGCCTGGCCAACATGGTGAAACCCCCGCCATCTCTACTAAAAATACAAAAATCAGTTGGGTGTGGTGGCACACACCTGTAATTCCAGCTATTTGGGAGGCTGAGGCAGGAGAACTGTTTGAACCCGGGAGGCGGAGGTTGCAGTGAGCCAACATCCAGCCACTGCACTCCAGCCTGGGTAACAGAGCGAGACTCTGTCTCAAAAAATAAAAAAATAAAAAAAATAACTTTTCGCCAGGCGTGGTGGCTCACTCCTGTAATCCCAGCATTATGGGAGGCCGAGGCAGGCGGATCACAAGGTCAGGAGATCAAGACTATCCTGGCTAACATGGTGAAACCCCGTCTCTACTAAAAATACAAAAAATTAGCCGGGCATGCTGGCGGGCGCCTATAGTCCCAGCTACTCAGGAGGCTGAGGCAGGAGAATGGCGTGAACCCAGGAGGTGGAGCTTGCAGTGAGCCGAGATCCCGCCACTGCACTCCAGCCTGGGCGACAGAGTGAGACTCCGTCTCAAAAAAAAAAAAAAAAAAAAAAAATAAATAAATAAATAAATAAATAAATAAAATAAAATAAATAAATAACTTTTCGCTGGGTGCAGTGGCTCATGCCTGTAATCCCAGCACCTTGGGAGGCTGAAGCAGGCGGTTCACTTGAGGTCAGGAGTCTGAGGCCAGCCTGGCCAACATGGTGAAACCCCATCTCTATTAAAAATGCAAAAATTAGCCGGGTGTGGTGGCGGGTGCCTGTAGTCCCAGCTACTTGGGAGGCTGAGGTGGGAGAATCGCTTGAACCCGGGAGGCAGAGGTTGCAGTGAGCTGAGATTGTGCCATTGCGCTGAAGGGGCAACAGAGCAAGACTGTCTCCAAAAAAAAAAAAAATGACAACTTTTCACATTGAGAACGAGATAGTTTAAGAAGATGATAATTTAATGAGACATTATTTCCACTCGCTGGGTCTCTCCTCTACACTTGATTCCTGAGTTCCAACGCATTAAGAGATCAGCAGCCTGGACTTTTCTTCCTTCTTACTTAACAGACCATAAATTTCCCAAATTTCAAAACTTACTTGCCTTGAGTTCAGTCTTATCCAACTACCAATGAAACAACTTTAAGAGCCTTGGGAAAAAAGGAAAGATTGGCATTTCCAAACAAACTCCCTACCTTCCCTAGCTCCCGAGTTCCATGAAATCTCTTTCGCTCCATATTCACTTCCTCAGACACACCAGTCAGTTTTTAGACTCCTGCAAATAATTCTTTTCTGCATTAAAAGCGTCAGTTGTTACAGCTTCAAAAAACTGCAAATCATTCTTACTTACATCTGGAAGTCTGTATAGCTTCATTGTTCTCTGTAAAGTCATATTTCTACTCAAGTGAGAAAATTTCACTTCTACCAATTTTCTGGGGTTTAGTGATCGATGCCAGTATCTGGAATACAATAAAGGTTTTAAAATCAAATTGATTTCTAACTCTACAAGTTTTCACTCTTTGTCTCAGCTTGGCTGTTACATAAGCATTTACTGAATACTTACGTTGTACTAGACAGAGGCCCTCATCCTATGTCATCATTTTATCCGTCCAGTTTTAATCTCTAAAATACATCTTATACTCCAGTTATGTTCCTCAGGAGTTTGTGACCTTTCATCTTTTTCACTAAAGTGGAATCTTAAAACTGCAAAGGAAATATTAGTTGGCTGGGCACGGTGGCTCATGCCTGTAATCCCAGCACTTTGGGAGGCTGAGGTGGGCAGATCACTTGAGGCCAGGAGTTCAAGACCAGCCTGGCCAACATGGTGAAACCCCATCTCTACTAAAAATACAAAAATTAGCCAGGCACGGTGGTGTGCACCTGTAATCCCAGCTACTCGGGAGGCTGAGGCAGGAGAATCACTTGAACCTGGGAGGCAGAGGTTGCAGCAGTAAGCCGAGATCATGCCACTGCACTCCAGCATGGGCAACAGAGCAAGACCGTCTCACACACACACAAAAAAGAAATATTAATCATACCCAGGTTTCCAAGTGTGTAAGGACCATCACTGATTCTACAAAAGGCCAATCAGAAAGTTTAAAAACATGAAAATAAATCCCCTAAATTAGTCACCTTCACTTTTACAGCCTACACACCAAAGAAAACAACTTTTTGAAAACTAGCTTAAATTTCTTCAGTGATTCCAGGCTCTGGGATAAGTGATTTATATTAAAATATACCCCTGAAGTCTAGTATTCCATTTACTTAACGAATGTAATAATTTAACAGGATATAGTAATTTTAAGTTTCATCCTATTTGAGTCAATAAAAACAGTGGTGAGGGGTGGGGAGATAAACTCTGATGTTTTAGAAACAGGTTAGTCTTGTGGGAATCTGATCATTTTCTCACTGGAATAACCTGTGAAAGCTTGACTAGTGCAGACGAAGTTGTAAAAACATAGCTTAGGTCTTCCTACTCTGAACAAACAAATACATCTGAGGCTTTTGAATGGATGCTTATTAGACTTTCAGGACACTTTGGTGGTGCTGCAAAGCATGGCAGAAAACTGATCTTTGGGGTGGAAAGAAAATGGTATGACATTGGAATTTTAAGATCATCATGTCCTAGGTTTTCCCATGTAGAGACAGCATTCATCTTTCACATGGAATAGACTTAGAAGTATAGATCCACACGAGGTCAGGAGTTCAAGACCAGCCTGACCAACATGGTGAAACCCTGTCTCTACTAAAAATACAAAAATTAGCTGTGTGTGGTGGCACATGCCTGTAATCCCAGCTACTCGGGAAGCTGAGGCAGGAGAATCACTTGAACCCAGGAGGCGAGTTTGCGGTGAGCCAATATCACGCCACTGCATTCCAGCCTGGGCAACAGAGTAAGAGTCTGCCTCAAAAAAAAAAAAAAAAAAAAAAGTATAGATCCAGCATCATTAGTAGGAAAATGTCAAAAACTTTTTTTTAATCACCAAGTGGCAAATGATATACCAGAAAGAATACTGGACTTGGTGATTCTAGGTTCTAGTCTCCATCTCTGCTACCAGCAAAAACTACATCTAGCAGAACAGTGGTGAGGCTCAACATTTTTGATAAAGGGAGGACCTGAGGTAGAAATATGGTACTGGTACCTGCATGTGGCTATGGGCTTAGGAAGAACCACTCCCGCGGTGTACACAGCCTGGAAGATCCCTTCCAGGTTCACTCTTCTAGTGATCTCTCGGATTAGCACTGGGGCTACCCGTTTCGATCTCAACTTCTTATGAACACAAAGAAAGTTGATTTCTACCATCTTCTTCACACTAAGAAATAAAGATGGTGAAGATTAAGAGTCAAAACGAGATTCAAAATGAAGAGTCAACACATTTTAAAAAATAAGATGATACCCAGGAAATATCCAAGAATAAGAATGCAGGCTGGGAACACTGGCTGTCGCCTGTAATCTCAGCACTTTGGGAGGCCAAGGCAGGTGGATTGCTTGAGACCAGGAGTTCCAGACCAGCCTGGGCAACACTGAGACTCTCATCTCTACAAAAAACAAACACCAGCCAGTCATGTTGCCGCATGCATGTGGTCCCAGCTACTTGGGAGGCTGAGGTGGAAGGATCACTTGAGCCTGAGAGGCAGAGGGTGCAGTGAGCCATGATTGCATCACTGCCCTCCAGCCTGGACAACAGAGCAAGGCCCTGTCTCAAAAAAAAAAAAAAAAAAAAAAAAGAAAAGAAAGAAAAAGAAAAAAAAGAACATAAAGGCCATTCTATTTTCTTCTTTCTTTCTTTTTTTTTTTTTTTTTTTTTGAGACAGATTGTCGCACTGTCACCCAGGCTGGAGTGCAATGGCGCAATCTTGGCTCACTGTAACCTCTTACTCCTGGGTTCAAACGATTCTCCTGCGTCAGCCTCCTAAGTAGCTGGAATTACAGGTGCACGCCACCATGCCCAGCTCATTTTTGTATTTTTAGTAAAGACAGGGTTTCACCATGTTGGCTACGCTGGTCTCGCATTCCTGACCTCATGATCTACCTGCCTCGATCTCCCAAAGTGCTGGGATTATAGGCGTGAACCACCCACCGCACCTGGCCTGAAAGCCATTCTTTAACACAATATTTAACAAAAATATTCTATCACTTAGACATTTCACAAATTCAGACGGAAACACTATTCCCCATATCTCCCTGCCAAAATGATTGTAAAACGCACGGAGGCTCCAACCCTCTTGTTCTAAATACATTTTGGGACTTTGGTCCATTATACGTTTTCAGTTTAGAAAATGGATCAGCTATGGCTCTTTACGTTTCTTTCCTTTTTTTTTTTTTTCCTTTTTTGAGATGAGGTCTCGCTATGTTGACCAGGCTGGTCTCGACCTCCTGGCCTCAAGCAATCCTCCCATCTCAGCCTCCCAGTGCTAGGATTACAAGCATGAATCACTACGACCTGCCCGTCTTTAAGTTTCTAGATCTGTTTTTCCTAAATTATGGTAATAACTGAGTCATCCTGGTGCAGAATCTGATAAGATGTTGCTTTGGAGTGTGATACAAACCCCTGGGACCCCTGAGAGGGGCTTTGAGCAGACCAGAGCTGGTGCGCTCTGAACTACAGTAAACCTCCTAGATCTTCAAATCCTGTTCCTGGTTCTGTTTCCAGGTACACACTTCATTTGGCACAAAATATTCCTTGAGATCAAATGCTTTTCACAGTAAATAAGCTAACCTAATACACTGACAAGTAAAGAGACCAATTATATATGACATCTTTGACTTTCATAGCTGGATCTTTGACTTTCCGGGCTGGAGATCCAAACTAAAAGTGCAATGTATCCTATGGAGAGAAAGCTTTATCTCTCCTAAAAAATTTTTAAGTAATTTTTTTTTTTTGAGATGAAGTCTTGCTCTGTCACCCATGCTGGAGTGCAGTGGTATAATCTTGGCTCACTGCAATCTCTTCCTCCTGGGTTCAAGTGATTCTCGTGCCTCAGCCTCCCAAATAGCTAGGATTACAGGCACGTGCCACTATGCTGGCTAATTTTTGTATTTTTAGTAGAGATGGGGTTTCGCCATGTTGGCCAGGCTGGTCTCGAACTCCTGACCTCAAGTGATCTGCCAGCCTCGGCCCCGACCAAAGTCCTGGAATTACAGGTGTGAGCCACTGTGCCTGGCCAAGGCTTCGTTTTTTCTGATACATATATGTGTGAGCATGTATGAGATTGAGAGGCAGAGAGAGAAAAAGAGAAAAAGAAACCATTGTCCTTTATTTTTATTCACAGTCCGTTTTTTTTTCTTTACTACTTAATAAATTTATATTTTAAAACAGTTTTAGGTTCACAGCAAAACCAATCAGAGAGTTTCCATAAAGCCTCTGCCTCCACACATACACAACCTCCCTGATCACCGGACAGCTTGCATTCAGTCATTTTTATTTTTATTTTTATTTTTTTTGAGATGGAGTTTCGCTCATGTTGCCCAGGATGGAGTGCAGTGGCGCAATCTCGGCTCACTGCAACCTCCGCCTCCTGGGTTCAAGCAATTCTCCTGCCTCAGCCTCCTGAGTAGGTGGGATTACAGGTGCCTACCACCACGCCCAACTAATTTTGTATTTTTAGTAGAGATGGGGTTTCACCCATGTTGACCAGGCTGGTCTTAAACTCCTGAGCTCAGGTGATCTATCTGCCTCAGCCTCCCAAAGTGCTGGGATTAGAGGTGTGAGCCACTGCGCTTGGCCTGCATTCAGTAACTTTTAAAGGCCTAATCTAATTGTAATTCTTAGAAAATAAACATATAAAAACCGCATGGACGAGCTTAAACATGTACCTGTCATAAATCCGAATGTTTGCTGGGATGGCACTTATGAACCCGACCAGTTTTTTATTTGAAGACACTCTGACCCCACAGTGCCACTGCAGGAGCCAGCCTGGTGGACGCAGAGCCCTGAGGTCACGGTAGACAAGAAAACAGGCACCAGTTATTGTCCAAGAACACAGGAACAGACGCAGGAGTCCCCAAGTCAGCAGCGCCTATCCACGACATCTGTGATCGATGAGACTTACCACAACAGGAACTCGGGTGAATAGTCAAATCGGAACATATTGTCATCATCTTCTACGTAATTCTCATTTAACAACGTGTATAACTCCTTGAGCTATAAGATAAAACAAGTGTCCTATCCATGGTGCTCAGAATCAACTTAGAAGCAATGTGTGAATGCAGGAGTTGAATTTAAGAGGTTTTTACTCACTCACCACTTCGGCATCACTCAAGTCTAAAGTGTCCCACATAAAACCCTGTGGCAAAGAATACGGTTCTTGGCGTACGTTGTCTTTATCTGGTTCAATTGCACCATGAGATGTTATGACTTCATCTGAACAGGGAGAGAAAGAGAAAAAAGAAAGGCAAAAAGCGAGAATATTAAATGACAAAGTATTCTAACCATCCAAAGTGGTCAGTGACATAAGCAAAATCTGACTTAGGGCCCTCGGGTTTCAGATAATCTTTAAAAAGATGCTGTTATATCAAGCGCCTCTGGACTGAAACAGGAAAGCTAGGCAGTGGTGTGAAATCATTGCTGTTTCACCAATTATTTTTCTTTTCTTTTTTCTTTTGAGACGGGGTCTCACTCTGTCGCCAAGGCTGGAGTGCAGTGGTGCAATCATGGCTCACTGAAGCCTTCAACTCCTGGGCTCAAGCGATCCTCTCTCCTCAGCCTCCCAGGTAGCTGGGACTAGAGTTGTACAACACAGTGCCCGGCTAATTGTAAATTTTTTTTGTAGAGACGGAGTCTCATTATGTTGCCCAAGCTGATCTCAAACTCCTGGGTTCAAGTGATCCTCCCACCTCAGCCTCCCAAAGTGCTGGGATTGTAGGTGTGAGCCACCACAGCTGGCCTATTTTGCCAATTAAATGAAAGGAGAAATCCTTTGTCATCCAGTGACAAAGATGACATTACAAAACAACAGTGATTCCGAGTCTCAAGGCCTACAATGCAGCCTTATCTTACACACTGTCATAAGCAATGTAGGTTTCATTCAACAGCCTTGGGAGGTGTGTTCTTTTTACTGCATTTCCACAAACTGGGAGAGGAAAGGGCTGCGGTGACCTCTGCCCCTCCCAGCAAAACCTAAAAATAATTTCAAGGCTGGTTACTTCTCCCCATCTAAACTGCTAGCAGCGTAGTTCAGGCCATCACAATTTCTAGTGATTTCCACCAAGAAGAGTTTTCCAAGTCCTTCTCTGCAGAGCTTCCCAACATGGTAGGACTAAAACCCAGGCTCTTCCCCATGGCTGCTGCCTGCCTCGGCCCCTCTCCACACCCTCCCTGCCCCCTGCTCCCAGTGCTCTGGCCATGATGACCGGGGCAGGCCTCAGCTCAGGGCCTTCCTGGTGCCTTCCTTAGGCTTGAGGCCCTCTGGTCCTCAAGGGACGGGCCCCTTGGAATTCCCGACAGAAGCTTACGCATCACACGTCACTTTCTCCCAGCATCTGTTGCTTAACTAAAGCCTTTCTCTACCTCAGTGTGGCCGCTCCTCCCCAGCCTGGCCACCTTTTGTCCTACTTTTCCACCACTGTTTCCAGGTGTGTGCCCTGGACTATGCCTGGCATTTAATAACAGACACTCAACAGACACCTGCTCCATGAGGGACCTTCAGGGCCTGGTCCTTCCATCACAGAACCTTATATACATTTTTAATACTCTAATGGGCTAGGTGCGGTGGCTCACACCTGTAACCCAGCACTTTGGGAGGCCAAGGCAGGTGGATCACTTGAGCCCAGGAGTTCGAGACCAGCCCAAGCAACATACTGAAACAGCGTCTTTACAAAAAAATACAAAAATTAGCCAGGTGTGGTGGTGTGCACTTGTGGTCCCAGATACATGGGAGGCTGACATGGGAGGATGGATCACTTGAGCCCAGGAGGTGGAGGCTGCAGTGAGCTATGATCATGCCACTGCACTCCAGCCTGGGTGATAGAGTGAGACCCTATCTCAAAAATAATAATAATACTAGTAATGTTTCAAGTGTGGGGAAATTGGATGTTTTTATTGGGATAGAAATTGGACTAAAATAATGGTTATCAAAAGCCAATGTCACTATCTAATATTTATATTTTCAGAAGAAAAATATTAGTCTTGCATAGATTTCCAATCTGTGGTATGAAATAAATGATACATGTGAAGTTAACACTCTTTGTGTTTTGTTGTTGTTGTTGTTGTTGTTGTTGTTGTTCATCCAGCTTTGTTTGTGGGGAAAAAAAGAGAAAAGCAGAAAAACTTACCTAGTTTTGGTACCGGTTGTGTGTCCCAAAACTGGTATCTGTGCTTTGCAGCCTCATCAATGTTCCTGGCTGGGCCCTGGCATGCGGATAGCAGCTCCATTGCTCTCTGGATATCCTGCAACTTCTGCATTGGAACACTGGGATTCTACGACAGCAAAGACAGACACAGAATATGAGAGAGCGGCTGCTGATGTTAAACTTGAGCAGACGCACGTGCATCTGCCTCAGAGACTACAATACCTAAACACTAACAATCCTCCTCCAAGCCCAGTCAAGGCCATGGGCTTGTGTGTTACACATGAAAATAGAAGCAAACCCTCTGTTAAAGGTAACAACAGTTGTCTAGTTTTATTGGGGCTCTGGCAGTTTGGGGAATCTAAATTGAAGCACGCTTTGCTTCAGTTTCCCATCCATCTACAAATGGTCCCCGGCATTACTCCTCTGGGGGAGACGTGCAGTGCATGCATTACTGTCATCCAACAGCCAGGCAGCCACGAGCCTTGGGTGGGGGGCACTGTCAGAGTAAATGCTCTGCAGGAGCAACGAGGGGATGAAGGAAAGAACTTCTAGAATGGAAACACAGCAGAGAAGGGAAGGGAAGGGGAGGGGAGGGAAAGAAGAGAGAGAGAGAAAACAAAGAAAGAGAAAGAGAGAGAGAAAGAAAGAGAGAGGATCGGCAGTGGTGTCTCACGCCTATAATCCCAGCACTTTGGGAGGCCGAGGTGGGCAGATCACGTGAGGTCAGGAGTTAAGAGACCAGCCTGGCCAACACGGTGAAACCTTGTCTTTACAACAATACAAAAATTAGCCAGGCATGATGGCAGGTAATCCCAGCTACTCGGGAGGCTGAGGAGGGAGAATCGCTTGAACCTGGGAGGTGGAGGTTGCAGTGAGCTGAGATCGCGCCATTGCACTCCAGCCTGGGTGACAAGAGCAAGACTCTGTCAGGAAAGGGAAAGGGAAAGGGAAAGGAAGGGAAGGGAAGGGAAAGGGAAGGGAAGGGAAGGGAAAGGAGGGAGAGAGAGAGAAGGAGAGAGAAAGAGAAAGGGAGAGAGACAGAGAGAAAGAAAAGAAAAGAAAAAAGGAGGGAGGGAGCGAGGGAGGAAGGAAGGAAGGAAGGTAGGGGGGAGAGACAGAGAGGGAGAGGGAGGAAGGAGGAAGGAGAGGGACAGGGGGAGGAGGGAGGGAGAGAGGGAGGAAAGGAGGAAGGAAGGACAGATGGAAGGAAGGAAGGAAGGAAGGGAAATCTGAACTCAGTGCTGAACTGGGATGAAAATGATCAAGAAAAGAAATCTCTAACCATGCCCCTTCCTCCCGGCCACACCCTGCCCTTCTCCTGACCCTCCTGATCCTCCTGATCCTCTAGAGACAAACTCTCCCACCAGAAGGACAAGCAATTTCCTCTGTACTTCAGATCCTGGGCAACCATAGCCTGTCGTTCCCAGCCCAAGTGTTGGAAACTGGACTCCTTTTTAGGTAAAACATTACGTTTGAATTCTAAGGTTCCTTTCTCAAAGCCAATATTCCCGCCAGCTCTTGGAGATTCCCCAGTTCTTTTTTTTTTTTTTTTAATTCCTCAAATAACGTAATAATACATGGAACATGAGACTACTTGAAATGAGAAGACAGCGCAGAGGACTGAATATGGAAATCAATGACTTTTTTCAATATGTAAAATTACTGAGACATTGTAGAACTTTGATACCATGCAAAGAATATTCTTCGCTGTAATTCAGAAAGTGGTTAGAAGTTTCAAGAGCCCTTCGGTTTTGCTGTATGTCAACACAGGGTGGACACCATTGAAAGGTACAATCGACCCTTAGAAGTTTATAAACAGCAACTTTGGACTTCTGTTCCACTTGGAATCTGAAATCTGTGGTGTGGAGCAATAATTTTAACTTGGGAAGCTTACTCATCGTACACAGCACAGAACAGGGTTTGTTTCATACAAACACTGTCAAGAACCCTAAGGAAACGAAGTTCTGAAGTCCAGCTGGAGGCAGGTGAAAGTCTTTTTGTCTCTGCTTGGAAGTCTCACAGCACAATCCAAGATGGCCACAGTTTTTGTAAGCTGTTTATCTTACATTTGTTTAACATCAAAATCATAAAGGTCCTATCTTAATGACACATACAAATTTAACAAAATACTTTTCCGGTTCTCATTATTATATCTTTGGATGACTTCTTTTCCTTGGGTGTCTTTTAAGTCCCCAACATTAAAAGGAGCAAATTTCTAGCAAAATGAAATTCATGTGTATCTGAACTCCAACAACACCATCTATTAGAAGACCTTACAATTTAAATAGGAATTGAGATCACAGCATATTTCAACTAATAATGCTTAACTGTGCATCAGTTTAGCTTAAAATGGCAAAGTAGAGCCCAGTCTTATAAAAATAGAACTACAATGACTATAATGAATTTGTCATGGTACTTTTTCTTTCTTGATTTAATTTTTTGTTCCTTGATTTCTTTCCTGGTTTCTGAGTTAAATCTTCTAACAGTAATATATCAAACTCAAACTATTTTGCAACAGACATGAATCAGCATCTTTGTTCCACATGACCCAATGACCAAAATGACCAACTCCATGAAGAAGACTTCAGAGTGATTTATTCCCTACCTAATTAGCTCATGGGTTGACCAGCACACCTCTACATGAAATGTCCCTTTGCGAAACATTGATATCCCAATGTTCACTATTTAAATGCTTTCTTTCTTCTTCTTCTTCTTTTTTTTTTTTTTTTTTCATTTTGAGGCAGAGTCTCACTCTGTCGCCCAGGCTGGAATGCAATGGCATGATCATGGCTCACTGTGACCTCCGCCTCCTGGGTTCAAGTGATTCTCCTGCCTCAGTTTCCTGAGTAGCTGGGATTACAGGCTTGTGCCACCACGCCTGGCTAATTTTTGTATTTTTAGTAGAGACAGGGTTTCACCATGTCGGCCAGCCTGGTCTTGAACTCCTGACATCAAGTGATCTGCCCGCCTTGGCCTCCCAAAATGTGGTGATTACAGGCATGAACAACCACATACGGCTCTATTTAAATGCTTTCTGAAAGTAGATTCAAATAAACACAATTTCCAAATCCACAGGGACAAAGCAGTAAGGGAAACTCAGCTATGATCATTTCTCATGCCTGTCCATTCACCTTCCATAGTAGCACTACCTGGGAAGAATGAGTGTGCATCAGGCAAGGTGAGATGAATATCTACCCGACATTAACTTCCCACGATTCCACTCCTATATAAGAGGCAGGTATATTCTCTTTTTCTTCCACACATGCTTTCTGTGGCATACTAACCAGCAACTATACTCTTTACCCATTGTTTTCCAAATTTAATAGTACCTTGGAAAAAATGTCCAAGTTTTATAACACTAAGAAGTTTATAAGAATCCAAATATCATTTTTATTTTGGTTCTTGTATGTAGACCAGAATATTCTGCAATGCAGTCCACTGTAATTTACAGTGCTATCTAGAGTTGGCATAAGCTTAAAGGGAAAGAGCCCCAGATTTTAAAAATGCAGCAGAAAAAAGCCCATCTTAAGACAATACTGACTTCCTCCAAATTAAGAAAAGAAATTCCCTACTGTGATGGTTACTACTGAGTGTCAACTTGATTGGATTGAAGGATACAAAGTATTGGTCCTGGGTGTGTCTGTGAGGGTGTTGCCAAAGGAGATTAACGTTTGAGTCAGTGGGCTGGGAAATGCAGACCCACCCTTAATCTGGGTGGGCACAATCTAATCAGCTGCCAGTGCAGCTAGGATACAAGCAGGCAGAAAAATGTGAAAAGAGAGACTGGCCTAGCCTCCCAGCCTCCATCTTTCTCCCATACTGGATGCTTCCTGCCCTCGAACATCAGGCTCCAAGTTCTTCAGTTTTGGAACTCAGACTGGCTCTCCTTGCTCCTCAGACTGCAGATGGCCTATTGTGGGACCTTATGATCATGTGAATTAATACTTAATAAACTCCCCTCTATCTATCTATCTATCTATCTATCTATCTATCTATCTATCTATCCATCCATCCATCCCATTAGTTCTGTCCCTCTAGAGAACCCTGACCAATACACCTACCATATAATGCCAAGAGTTCGCCACTGCCTGGCTTGGCTCTAGTTTCTCATAAGTGACCAGAGAGAGGGGAAAGGCTCACAGTCACTAGAGGTGGAAGGGATGGGCAGAGACCAATGGTGATGCTGAAAGCAACAGGAGATGTCCACGCTGCAGGTCAGGGATGCCACGTTTATCTGATGAAGCGACATTTAGAAACGGGAAGAGTGTTTTGCAAGCTTATGGTGGTATCCTCTATGAGTTACCTTGGAAAGCTGTATCTAGTGGGTAGCATATTTATTACCCGAGAACCAAGTTGAAAAGCTAGGGAAGAAGATTCCATTTTCTTCTCACCCTGCAGTCAGTCAGGGAAAAATTGGGGCAAGTAATTTTCCTTCTCAGTGATTCCTGGTTCTTTTGTGTAAAACAGGTGACAACATCAAAACTACCTGCAAGTCTCACTTCATGGAACACAACAGAAACTCTGCATAAGAAAAAAGGAAATCCACAAAGCTTGTAGAATGGTAACAACTACTATATATATATATATATATATATATATATATATATATATATATATATGCACTGTTTTAGGATGTAAAAACTCTTCAATAAAAATGCTCCAACTGGAACCTCAAGATCGAACTGCGAGTTAGAGAGAAGAGAAGGAACTGGGCTGAAGGAAGTGCAGTACCCAGGCAAAGGCACACAACTAGTGAGCAAGGGGGCAGAGACCAAGCTCAAGGTCTCAGACATCACCCCTTGAGCTGTTTCCACAATACCACATGCTACTCACATTGATTGACTGATTGATTGATTGACATGGTCTCTGTCGCCAGGCTGCAGTGCAGTGGCGTGATCTTGGCTCACTGCAACCTCCACCTCCCAGGCTCAAGCTATCCTCCCACCTCAGCCTCCCAAGTAGCTAGGACTACAGGTGCATGCCACCGTGCCTAACTAACTTTTTGTATTTTTAGTAGAGACAGGGTTTTGCCATGTTGCCCAGGCTGGTCTTGAACTCCTGGGCTCAAGGGATCCGCCTGCCTTGGCCTCCCAAAGTGCTGGGACTACAGGCATGAGCCATCGTGCCCAGCCTATTCACAATAATTTATTTGTAGGTACGATCATCAAAATCATCTCTATTTTGTAATATTTCTAATTCTACCCCTTTTCTTTCTTTTCTTTCTTTTTCTTTTTTTATTTTTTTCAGCCAGGGTCTCTCACTGTTGTCCAGGATGAAGTGCAGTGGTGTGATCATAACTCACTGCAGCCTTGAACTCCTGGGCTCAATGGATCCTCCCACCTCGGCCTCCCAAAGTGCTGGGACTACAGGCGTGAGCCACCGTGCCTGGCTGGTTCTACCCTTTTCACTGTGAGTTTCTTGCATCAAGAGGGCTTTGTGTTTCCCAGAGGCCCAGCATACAGGGTGCCTGGGGGTTGGCTCCACAGACAGGGATGGCTGCCATCTGTGCCACCAGACACCCACGCAGTACAATCAACCCTCTTCTTGGCCACCATCTGCCAACACGGGGCCCAGCTGGACAACTTCTGGTTTGGTTTAAACTAGGAGAATGTCAGGAACTATTTCCCACCCTTGGCATTAGAATGAAGAACGACCGCTGCAAACTGGTTTAATTCAAAGTCAACGAGAGACTTACCCATGGCTGCTCCCGCTGAAATCTGCTGCCAGATGGTGTTGTGCTATTCAGGTAATTAGACAGACACCCAGAAAAATTACAATGTGAATATCTTCTGAACGAAAAGTAATCAAATATTAAAGTGTAATTTCAAAAAAACCTAACAAGCTCACACTGAGACTTTCTTCTAGAACGACAATCTAAATACAAATTCACTGAGAAAAGGGAAAAACACAGCAGGTATCCACACACACACAAAAGCACAGTGTACCCCTTCGTTATTTGGGTGCCAAAGTCCATTTTAAGGAGGCTGTCAAGAGCTTCCAGTTACTAGTGGCATTCAACACACAGTCACAACAAAGTCCCTACACATCTGATGCAGCAGCGCGCTAAACTGCGTAAACCCACTCATGCACGAGAAACCACACAGAGGAAAAAATAAAACAGAGCTCTCACTTTCGAAGGCTGCTGAATTTTAATCTCCTGGGAATCAGATGCCGAGTCTGACTTGGTGCCTCCGGAATTTGGTTTCTCCTTTTTTCTCTTCTGTTTCTTCTTTTTCTTTTTGGCTCCCAAATACCCTCCAGGACTTCTGCAGGAAATGCAAAGATGGTGAAACCAACCAACAAACAAAAATCATTAAATGAAATTGAATTGCATACAATTAATCATTTCAAAAAACACAGCTGTTACATGCAGTAGAAAATAACTGTGTTAGGATGTAGGTGAGGAATAAAAGGTAGTGGAGTGAAGACGGTAACAGGCAATGCAGAAGAATACCAGCCCCCGCTCAGTCATCCTGCAGGTGCTTAGAAGTCACGAAGCAGGAAGATTGCAGAGATAAACCACATTTTATAACTGAAGTAAAATAGTTTCCACGGTTATCACTACTCTCCTAATCTACGTTTAAGTCAGCTTTCGGGAGGAGAGATACATGATATGAAAAACTCCATTATCAAGATCTCTTGGGTACGACAGAACACTAATCTTGAAGCAACAGAACTAAACAAACCACTTTTTTGCAGAGGAGGAAATGTTCCCTGATAAAGATTTTTACTAGGGGGGCTAACAATGAAAAGCTTTAAGTGTCTAACTACAGAGAGAGACCCTGTCACAAACAATCACAAACAAAACACAAAGTGCTAGTTTTGTTACCTAGCATCTAGGTTATAAAGGAACTTTTCTTTCCACTGGTTATTCATGTTTTAAAGTAATGAACTTTTCCATTTAAAATGGATAATTCCTCTGTGACATCCAAATATGAAAGGCATGTGCAATAGTGAGAGAAACTGTTTAAGAACTAAGCACGCTGTTGGGCACAGTGGCTCATGCCTGTAATCCCAGCACTTTGGGAGGCTGAGGCAGGTGGATAGCTTGAGCCCAGGAGTTCAAGACCAGCCTGGGCAATAAGGGGAAACCCAGCCTCTACCAAAAGGAAAAAAAAAAATTAGCCAGGTACAGTGGCACGCACTTGTAGTCCCAGCTACTCAGGAGGCTGAGGTGGGAAGATAGCTTCAGCCTGGGAGACGGAGGTTGCAGTGAGCCAAGATTGTGCCACTGCACTCTGGCCTGGGCAACAGAGCTGGAGAAAAAGAAAAAAGAACTGAGCACTTGAGCTATAGATTCATATTTCCACTCCAATTCTAAAATAGAAAACAGTGCTTATTTTGGAAGATACATTAAGACTTTGTCAAATGGTACCCTAGTGGTTTAAAAATAGTAAGGTTTTGCCACCTCACAACAAGCAGTTTATTTTCATCAATAGAATCAAATTTGTGCTATCATGATGTTTATATTTAAAATCACCTGGTGGCCAAGGACACTCATCAATATCTGACTAGCAATTGGGATTAAACAAACATATCACAGCCAGGTACATGAGCTAGAAATATGCTGCAGATACGTTCAGTTTTGTATATTCTCTGGTTTGGGAGTAGGACTATTTTAGGCTTTCCTCTCCCGGTGTTCCTATTGCTGGCACCCTGTGAATTGGTGAATCCGTTGTACTGTTATAGTGTGATTTATGTATGCATTTGTATGTGCTACTTAAGAAGTCTATTCTTAATTGCGTCCCTAAGGTCTCCAATGCCTCACACCAGTACATACTAATACAAATGCTTGTGGAATGAATGAGTGGATAAGTCTGGCTCTAGAGGTGGTGCCATCACATATTCCCAGGCCATAAAATACTTCTGAAAGCTACCATTGTTTCAACCTCAATGGTAAAGCCTACTGCAACTTACTATCAAGTAATTATTGAACATTTACTATGTGTTCAGCATTATCTTGGGGCCACAGGCTGGGTGGGAGGGACCAAAATCATGGTGGACATGCCTGTGACTTCACAACCTAGGGGATTATCCCTCTCCCACTTCTACCATGTATTCTAACTGCTACTGGTTATGGCTTTCCAGAAACCACTAGGAGCCTGGGACCTCACAGCTTTTCTGTATAATACTTCCACTTTAAAATATCTCCAAATTTCCAAGAAGCTTGGTTACAGAGAGATACAGAATAAAAGGCAGTGACTGGGAAGGACGCTTTGAAGTAGATGCCTATCCAACTGGATGAAAATATATTTGTCCTGAGTGTCAGTTAGTAATTTGCTCAGCCAGGCATGGTGGCTCACGCCTATAATCCCAGCACTTTGGGGGTCCAAGGCGGGAAGATCGCTTGAGCCTAGAAGGATCTCTTGAGACCAGCCTGAGCAATATAGTGAGACCCTGTCCCCATAAAAAGTAAAAAATTAGCTGGGCATGGTGGTGTGCACCTGTGGTGCCAGCTACTTGGGAGGCTAAGGTGGGAGGATCACTTGAGCCTGGGAGGCTGCAGTGAGCCATGATCATGCCACTGCACTCCAGCCTGGGCAACAGAGTGAGACCCTGTCTCAAAAACAACTACAACAACAACACAACAACAATAATAATAGTCTCTAAAACAGATAAACTCATGGAAACTTGAGGGGATCTGGAGACATTTTAAAAAATTAAAATACCAGACTATTTCACCAAAAAATCCTTAAGTAAGTTTATATCACTTATTCTATAACTTACAATGCCTGTTCAATGAGGTTTCCAAAACTCCATTTTGGGAGTTAATTGATGCTACACATCAAAACTTTTTTTTCTTCCAAACGGTGTTGCTAAAATTTATATTCTTATTTTGGCATAATGGAGAAAGCGTCACCATTTTTGTTTACTCTAGTTCAGCAAGAGTTTTTCTTTTTCTCTCTTTCATCTCAACTTTAAATTGACAGGGAGCTACAGAAATGGGCACTAAGTTGGTCATCCCAGCCTCCAAACTCCCAGACATATCTGATAGCATTTATACAATGATGAGAGGCAGAGCTTCCCAGCCCTTCAGTGAGGAAGAGCTACTTTTCCATTTCCTGAGGCCATGAAGGAAACGAGACTTTGAGAATAAGAGCTGACCAGTGCACCGCTTGATACCCATGAGGATAATTATAATCAAAAAGAAAAAGCCAGGCCAGGTGCAGTGGCTCACGCCTGTAATCCCAGCACTTTGGGAGGCTGAGGCGGGTAGATCATGAGATCAGGAGATCGAGACCATCCTGACTAACATGGTGAAACTGCGTCTCTACTAAAAATACAAAAAATTTGCTGGGCGTGGTGGCGGGCGCCTGTAGTCCCAGCTACTCAGGAGGCTGAGGCAGGAGAATGGCGTGAACCCGGGAAGCGGAGCTTGCAGTGAGCCGAGATTGCACCACTGCACTCCAGCCTGGGCGACAGAGCGAGACTCCGTCTCAAAAAAAAAAAAGAAAGAGCCAGTGCTGGGGAGGATGGAGAGACGCTGGAACCCTCATACACTGTTGATGGGAATGTAAAATGGGGCAGCGGCTTTGAAAAACAGCTGACAGTTCCTCAAAACACTAAACACAGATTCCCTGTATACCCTAGCCATTACACTCGTAAGTACATAACCAAGAGAAATGAAAACTTATGTCCACACAGGAACTTGTTCACAAATACTCATAGCAGCATCATTCATAACAGCCCAAAACTGGAAACAACCCAAATGACCATCCTCTTATGAATGAAGACAGGAAATGTGGTCCATCTATAGGATGGATTATTCAGCAATAAAAAAAACAAAGAGTCGATAAAAACAGCAACATGAATGGATGCATCTTGAAAACGCTACACTAAGTGAAAGACACTAGTTGCCAAGGACCATGTATTGTATAATTCCATGTCTATAAAACGTCCTGACAAGCAAATCCACAGAAACAGAACTAGATTAGTGGTGGTCAGGGGCTGGGAAGATGGAGGGCTTGGGCATGATTAAGGGATGTGGGTTTATTTTGGGAGTGATGGAAATGTTCTAAAATTGATTGTACTGATGGGTGCACAACTCTGAATAAGCTAAAAGCTGCTGAATGGTATACTTTATTTATTTTTGGTTTTTAGTATTTGAGACAGAGTCTCACTTTGTCGCCCAGGCTGGAGTGCAGTGGTGCCATCTTAGCTCACTGCAACCTCTGCCTCCTGTGTTCAAGTGATTCTCCTGCCTCAGTCTCCCAAGTATCTGGGATTACAGGCACGTGCCACCACGTCCAGCTAATTTTTATATTTTTAGTAAAGACGGGGTTTCGCTACGTTGGCCAGGACAGTCTCAAACTCCTGACCTCAAGTGATCCACCCGCCTCAGCCTCCCAAAGTGCTGGGATTAGAGGTGTGAGCCACCAAGTCTGGCCTGAATGGTATGCTTTAAATGAGTGAATGGTATGGTATGTGAATTATATCAAATGAAACAGAAGTGTTGACAGGTGACACTCCTGTCCCTGGGGGTGACAGGATGATGTTATGGCCAGAGCAGATCAGGAGTCAGCTGTGGCTGCTTAGCCAGGGGTCTGCGTCCCACAGGACTCCAGGTACTCTGGAGGGAGACGCATGACAGAAAGAGATGCCCCCGTGCCTGGGTGGGAGAGGTGCTAAGCGGGCTTCCAGATACTGAAGGCAAATCCAGGCCCAAGAGAAGACTCTCCCTGGAAATCCAATGAAGAAAGACTAATTCAGACTCCCAGTACTCAAGGCTGATTACCAAGTCATGGAAATTCAGCCCTGCATATCATGTGGCCCTTTAAAAAGATTCCTCGGTCTTCAAGAACTCAAGTCCCACCTCCCTCTTCCCCAGGGTTTCACTTGAAAGGTCCACAAAGAAAAGGCTCTCAGTTTTGCCACCTCTGAAAGCCCGCACACTTCAGCTTCCATCCAGAGAGAATCAGTGGCACATTCAGACCTCAAGTAGAAACGAACACATTCCTTCTCAGCCATGGAAATGGCAAAAATTTAATGAGCACATCCAGCAAATCTCTTCAAAGAAGTATTCATGGAAACTACAGACAAGACTTAATGGGAGGGCCAATGTAACAGAGCCATGTAAACGCTTTACAGGTGGTCCAGGATGACATCCACAAAACCCATCGTTTCTCTCTCTGGACTCACAGCTGGACAGCACTTGCCAGCTGCCTTGTAGCCAGGTGTGGCCACTGACTGAGTTCCAGCCAGCGGAAGTGATGTGTGTCACTTCCTGCTGCCCAGAAACCCCTATGGGTGGCTTCTCCATGTCCTTCCTGTCCTTTGTGCTGTCTGGATGCAGACATAGGTGAGAGCCCCAAGGATGGCAGAGCCACACGATGGCGCAGTCTCGACCCTGGATGACAGAATGAAGGAGAACTCCCTCACCATCGTCAGAACATGTGCCTAGGGCTGGTCCATGAATGAGAAGGGAACTTCCACTGTGTTGTTCAATCCCATGTTAGGGTCTGTTGATTACAGCAGCCCAGTCTCATACAACTAACACATCAATCTTAAGAGTGACATCGGGCTGGGTGCAGCGGCTCACGCCTGTAATCCCAGCACTTTGGGAGGCCAAAGAGGGAGGATTGCTTGATCCCAGGAGTTCAAGACCAGGCTGATCAACACAGAAAGACCCCCATCTCTACAAAAAAATTAAAATTAGCCAGATGTGGTGACATGTGCCTGTAGTCCCAGCTACCTGGGAGGCTGGGGTGGGAGGATCACCTGAGCCCAGGAGGTCAAGGTTGCAGTAAGCTATGTTTGCACCACTCCATTCCAGCTGGGCAACAGCGAAAGATCCTCTCGCTCTCAAAAAAAAAAAAAAAAAAAAAAAAAAAAAAAAAAAAAAAAGTGACATCAAAGGAGCTCAATTTTTGGTATGTGAATTCCAAGGATAAAAAGTAATTTTAAATTTTATCAGGTACCACCAGAGGGATAACTTAGCTCCTCTCTACTGTGAAATACAAGAAACATTAGTGGTTTGAGACTAATTATTTTACAAATATTTCCCCCCTGAATTTCCAAGTTCCTGCATGGAAAATGGTGGGAATATAGCTGATTGTAATCTTCTCATTCGTATTTTCATGCATTTTTGAACTAGTGTATAATAATCACAATACCTTTGTAAGGAAAACATTATTAAACTACAACGGAACTGAAGAACAGATAAACAGGTCCATGAAATGCAACAGACATATCAGTAACAACCCATGATAGTAAAGAAACTTGATATATAATAAAGATCACATCATAAATCAGTAGTGAAAAAAAAATTTTTAATACATAGCATGAGAAAAACTGAATTCCTATATGCAGAAATATAAAATTAGTTTGCTGCATCCCACAACATGAAAAAAAAAACAAATTCCAAATGGGTGAAAGACCCAAACTTGGAAAACAAAACCTTAAAAGTGAAGGTGGTGATGTCCATTTACTCCACATGTTTCTAGTGCCTAGAACAGTGTCTGGCATTTAGTAGATGCTCAAGTAAACATCTGTCAAATGAGTAAGTGAAAGAATTAAATGATAACTTCATAATGTCCGTGAAGGAAACAATTACTCAAACGAGGACTCAAAAGTACAAACCATAAGAGATAATAACTTTTGAGTACACCAAAGTTAAACATTTCATGGTAAAGTGATTATAAAAAAATTTTTATGTTACAGAATAAGGTTAGACATTTATAACACAAATGAGAAAGTATTACCAGCCAGAATATATACAAAGGTCTTTTCTCTTTCACATTTTATCTCTAGGATGGTATAGAAAGACAACATTATATTCTGGCCAGGACTGCAGGCATTAAGTAGAGTTTGACTACCTGGCTTTGAATCCTGACTCCACAAGTTCTCAGCTGTGTGACTTTGAGTTTATTACTTAACCTCTCTGTGCTCCAGTTTCTGTAGCTGTAAAAGGATGTTTTCAAAAAACAGTATTAGGCCAGGTGTGGTGGCTCATGTCTGTAATCCCAGCACTTTGGGACGGAGGACAAGGCAGGAGGGCTGCTTGAGTCCAGGAGTTCGAGACCAGCCTGAGCAACATACCAAAACCTAGTCTTTACAAAAAATAAAAAATTAGCTGGGCAAGTTGGTGTGTGTGTGCCTCTGGTCCCAGCTACTCAGGAAGCTGAGGTGGGAGGATCACTTGAGTCCAGGAGTTTGAGGCTGCAGTGAGCCGTGATCGTGCCACTACAGTCAGCCTGGGCAACAGAGTGAGACCCTGTCTCAAATAAATAAATAGTATTAGAAAAAATGTGAGGATAAAATGAATTCATACATCTAAGAATTTAGTATAGTAGCTGGCACACAGAAATCATTCGGTACAAGCCAGCTATTATTATGATTGTACTGCTTTAGTTTTTAAATATAATTTATTGCTAGCTGGAACAGTATTGTCTCTCTCTAACTAGAACATAAGATCCATAAAACAGTGTTTTCTATTGTATTCCTAGCACCGAAAATAGTGTCTGACATATAAAAGATCCTCAATATTTGCTAGATGAATGAGAAATCAATAAAAAAAAATTAAGAAAAAGAAGACTGACAGAAGAATGGGCTGACAATATGAATAAGCACTTGACAAAAGAGGCAGACTTAACAACCAATAAGCTTAAGAAAACATGCTCAATTTCACCCATTGATTTGGCAAACATTTTAAAATCTAAGAATATCAGAAGAACGTGAGGAAAGGGAACACTCACATGCTGTTGGTAAAATGTAAACTGAAACAACCACTTTGTAAAGCAGTCTGGCATTGCTGCTGCCACCACCACCGCCACCACCACCACCATCATCACCATCACCATATCATTACTAACATCGTCACCATTATCATCATCACCACCATCGCCACTACCATTGATCGCCATCACCACCATCACTGCCGCCATCACCACCACCACTGCCACCATCATCACCACCATCATCACCATCATATCATTACTACCATCATTGCCACTGTCATCATCACCATCACCATCGCCACTACCATTGCCATCACCACCATCACTGCCACCATCATCACCATCACCATCATCACCACCATCACATCATCATCACCACCATCATCACCATTATCATCACCATCATCACCACCATTGCCACTACCATTGCCATCACCACCATCACTGCCACCATCATCACCATCACCATCATCACCACCGCCATCATCACCATCATCATCACCATCATCACCACCATCATCATCACCATCATCACCACCATCATTATCACCACCATCATCACCATCATCACCACCATCACCACCATCATCACCAACATCATCACCACCATCATCACCACCATCATCACCATCACCATCATAATCATCACCACAGCAGGCAACACTTCGCAACACTTACTATGTGTCAGGCACTGTACCAAGCACCCTACAGATATCAACTTTGTAAACTGTCACACTCGGAGGTAAGTGCTATTATTATTATTATTATTCCCGTTTTATAGATGAGGAAACTGAAATAGAGAGAGCTTAAGTAATTTGCTGAAGGTCACATGGTTAATAATGGCAGAATCAGGACTTGAATCCAGACAGCCTGGCTCCAAAATCCACATAATTACTACCCTACGTTGTCTCTCATTTATGTACTTCCTTGGGTTGACCATCTTTTCAGATAATTACCAGCAATTTTTAGGTCTTTTGTAAACTGCCTAATTGCGATCTTTGGACATTTTTTATTCACCTATTTTATGGAATTGTAATAGATCTTTGTGCTACGTGTGTGCACATGCCCTGGTGTTCTGGTTGGAATCCCAAAACACTTCACTAGAAGGAATAACACTACTAGGAAAAAAATATGAGGTTTTGGTACAGTTGATAAAAAACAAAGGTAACCCAGAGGTTCATCACACTACCTGCTGCTGGAAGAGAATTCACACCCACCGTTGGGGAAGTTAGCTAAGGTTAACTCAGGTTATCAGGGTGTACTGGCCAAAGTTGGTCCTCATCCTGGATCAGGGGCACCCATCTTACCTAAGTTGATCATGTGACCATCAAATTCGATAATGGATTTCACCTGCAGTTCAGGGTTTGAAGAAGTCACACAAATGAGTTTTTGTCAGTGGTTCATTTGTGTAATTCCAGTATGAGTTTCTTCACTCTTTTTTTCCCAAGTGTAATGCAGAGTCCAGAGCAGGAAGACACCCTTCTAGCTGTCATCATCTGGCTGCACTACGGCCTCATCTAAAGTAGGATTTCAGCTCCATCATGGGTCTGGTAGCTTCAACCCATACTTAGTGTGCCCCTTCTCCTCTTGGGATTGGTGTAGGAAGTATCTACAAAGCAACATCGTCTCTGTGCAAAGCAGTAAGTCATGGACAAGCCCTAGAAGGCTCAGAGCTCAGAGCCGTCCCAAAAGTGTATGGCCAGTGAGGGACAAAGATCATCATCAAAGATCCATCAAGCAGGCAGGTGGCTACAGCTATTGAGGCTACAGCTTTGGACAAAGGTGACTGAGACTAGCCAATAATTTAAATATTTACACGGCTGTTAGCAGCAGAGGATGCCTAGCTCTAGACAATGGCTGAACAATACGCCCGGGAATCAATACAAGCGTGGCTGGAAGAGAGGAATCTTGATGATCCCCCTTGCTAGCTTCTAGTCCAGTTTGTTAACTAGTCCCTCTTCGCTAGCTTCTGGTCTAGTTTACTAACTAGTCCCTCTTCTTACATATTGGGTTGCTCCAAGTTTTTGGTTCTCCTAAACCTGTACCATATTTGAAATGTGGGAATGTATATTCTATCTCATTAGCTTCCTCCTTTTTTTTTTTTTTTGGAGACGGAGTTTCACTCTTGCTGCCCAGGCTGGAGTGCAATGGTGCAATCTCGGATCACTGCAATCTCCGCCTCCTGGGTTCAGGCAATTCTCCTGCCTCAGCCTCCCAAGTAGCTGGGATTACAGGCATGCGCCACCATGCTGGCTAATTTTGTATTTTTAGTAGAGACGGGGTTTCTCCATGTTGGTCAGGCTGGTCTTGAACTCCCGACCTCAGGTCATCTGCCCGCCTCGGCCCCCAAAAGTGCTAGGATTGTAGGTGTGAGCCACAGTGCCTGGCCAGCCTCCTCCTTTCATAATTATCAAACAATTTTGGTGTCTACATCACACAAAAGCCCAATTCTGATAAGAGATAATGTTAAACTATAATAAACTTTCATATAACACTCATTGGCCAGAAACACGTCTCACATGAAGTTTAGTTTGTGAAGTAAGACCTGGCTTTGTAGACAGTGCAAGGTCGGAATATAGGAAGAAATATTTTAAATGCTTTAAAAATTTGTTATTTACATATCTTTAAGATCATTATATACAATTGAAGATGAAATTCAAATTGTTCAGCCATTTGACAGACAAACAGGGACAGATCCGTGGCTTATGAGCCTCGAGGGAGCTGGTGGCTCAGAAGAGCTGAGTTCTAGACAGTTTTAAAAAGAGAAAAAAAGTTGGCTGGGTGTGGTGGCTCATGCCGGTAATCCCAGCACTTTGGGAGGCTGAGGCAGGTGGATCACCTAAGGTCAGGAGTTCAAGACCAGCCTGGCCAACATGGTGAAACCCCGTCTCTACCAAAAATATAAAAAACTAGCTGGGTGTGGTGGCACGCGCCTGTAATCCCAGCTACTCGGGAGGCTGAGGCAGGAGAACTACTTGAACCTGGGAGGCAGAGGTTGCAGTGAGCCAAGATCGTGCCACTGCACTCCAGCCTGGGTGACAGAGTAAAACTCTGTCTCAAAAACAAAAACAAAACAAAACAGAAGTTGTAATACTCAAACGTAGAAATGAGATAGCTTGATCCAAGGCTGTGATATGAGCCTGTGATATGTGTCCAAGGGCAAAGGCCAGAGATGAGAGACGGAGAAAACAATTTCTATGAGCAAAGTCAAAGGTCAAAGACAAGTTGGTGAGGCTGTACAAATGGCGCTTTTCACCAGGAAGCACAAAGGTGAACGTGGAGTCCTCAAACACAAAAGGAAATGCACCTCCCAGATTCAAAAGGGAGCCAGAGGTCATGGTCCACTCTGGGATGGTAGAGGAAAGAAACAAATAAATTTTTTAAAAGCAGAGAAATACCACAGAGCTCTGAGAAGTTGTCTACAAGACAAGGAGCAAGTGGCAGTGTCTAGAAGGGATGGCTTAAAGCTGGGACAAGCAGGACTGGGGTCTCTCCTTTGCCAAAACGTATCTTTTCCCCTTTTCCTTAGGAAGTGACAGCAAAAAGTGAACTCAAGAAGAACCCTGGGGTCTGATGAGTCCCTGATACATAAAGTCTGTGGTTTTCTCAGAGCTATTCCCTCTCAGAACCTTCCCCAGCCTTCTGTTATCCCTGAGGATGGGGCCAGGCCCAGGACAAAGTATGTACTTGTCAAATCATGAGTTTTAAAGACAAATGGCTCCTTTTAAGCAGTTTTTTTCATTTACCAATAAAGACACTCATCCCCAGAGGGGTTAACTGACTTCCAAAGTCCAAGGGAGGGTTAGTGAAGGAAGCTTCTTGGTTCCTGGTTTAAAACTCATCTCAACACACCACACTGCCTTCCTAAAACTTAACTGAGAAAGATTTTTAAATATTCATCAGGAAATAGTCTGGAGAGGTGATACATGTACAAGGATATTAACTTCAGCCCTGTGTACTAGCACAAAAGACTTAAAACTACCTTACTGTCTACTAATAGGGGATGGATTGAAGAGGTAATGGTGTATCCATTCAATGCTACAATATACAGCAGCCCCCCTTTTTTTTATGGAATGGAGGTTTAATAGAAGAGAAGGGAAAGAGAAACAGCTCTCTCTATATATAGAGAGAGGAGTCTCTGAGTGGAAAGGACCCACACACCGCCTTTTTAAAAAGGAGGTTGGAGCTGAACATGGTGGCTCACGCCTGTAATCCCAGCAACTCCAGAGGATCACTTGAAGTCAGGAGTTCCAGGCCAGCCTGGGTAACACAGTGAGACCTCCCCTCCGCCATCTCTAAAAAAATACAATAAAACTAAAAGGAGGTTGATCTACGTATTTTGATATATAAAGACCTCCAGGATATGCTGTTAGTGAAAAATCAAGAGGCATGCTGCCATTTGTGTTGAAGGCCTGCAGAGGCACACATGTGCACATGCTCCCATCCTTGCCACCACTGGAAGGACACACCAAGAGTCCACAACAGGAGCTGCCTATGGGGGAGAAGTTCAGCGCAGGGAGAATGAGACTTAACTTCGTTGCCTCCCATTGATGGCTTTTGAATTTTGTACCACACAGCTGACCTCTGAATACGTCACACTACTTATTCAAAAAGTAACATAATGAAAACACGAAAATGTCTCTAAGGCCAAAGCTACACACAGATGTTTTGTTTTATTTTATTTTATTTTATTTTTTTTTTGAGACAGAGTCTCGTTCTGTCGCCCAGGCTGGAGTGCAGTGGCCAATCTCGGCTCACTGCAAGCTCCGCCTCCCAGGTTCACACCATTCTCCTGCCTCAGCCTCCTGAGTAGCTGGGACTACAGGTGCCCGCCACCACGCCCGGCTAATTTTTTTTTTGTATTTTTAGTAGAGACGGGGTTTCACTGTGTTAGCCAGGATGGTCTCGATCTCCTGATCTCGTGATCCACCCGCCTCGCCCCCCAAAGTGCTGGGATTACAGGCGTGAGCCGCCGCACCTGGCTTACACACAGACGTTTTATTAGTTAGTATACAGGTTGAGCTGCGTGGGCTCCAGTCCCAAAATAACAGCCGCTCACAACACAAGCACATTTATCTTTCGTGAAAAGGTCTCTGCATCCCTCAGTGGGGAATTTGTGCCCTAAAATGACAGCAGGGCTGGCTCCCTCTGTCCTGTCTCCCCTGCCCCCAGGATGCTGGCTTGGTGCAGGTGCTGTGGGATGACTTCCTACCACTGGTACACATATCCCAGCCAGCAGGAGGGATGAGTGGGGCCCTCCAGGTGCCCAGAACAAACTGTCACTGTGGAAGAAGGGGCCCACTGGCAGCCTTGGCCATGAGGGTCCAGCAATAGGGGACTAAATAAATAATGGTACCCTGTGTAGAACCACATGACGGGATGGCCAGCCAATTGACCTGACTCAGGTGCAGGCTGTGTGGTGACCTGGAAAGACATTCAGTTCCTTTCAAATGACAACAGATGAATACAAACAGTATACAGTAGGTGCCCCTTATCCTCAAGAAGGCGTTCCAAGTCTCCCAGGAGATGCCTAAAACCATGGCTAGTACCCACTCCTAAACTTCATAGCCTATGCACAAAGGTATTTTTCCTTTTTCACAATTTTATGGGTAGATTATTATTATTTTTTGTTAGTTTTTATTTCATAGTCATAAACTTAACTCTGCAATCCAGCTAGGCATGGAAGGGGGCAAGGAAAACATGGAACCCAAAGGGAAATGCAGTGAGAGCACAAAGATTCTAGGATACTGCGAGCAAATGGGGTGGAGGGTGTTCTTCTGAGCTACAAAAGGAATGGTCTGGTGGTTAAGATAAAACACAAGTCAAACTTATTAGAGTTGTCCACAGTCAGCAGTGGTGATCTTCTTCCTGCTCTTGCCATTCTTGGACCCATAGCGCTTCATGGCCTCCACAATCTTGATGCCTTCTTTCACCCTGCCAGAGACCACATGCTTGCCATCCAACCACTCGGTCTTGGCAGTGCAGATGAAAATCTGGGAATCGTTTGTGTTGGGTCCAGCATTTGCCATGGACAAGATGCCAGGACCTGTATGCTTCATGGACAAGATGCCAGGACCTGTATGCTTCAGAATGAAGTTCTCATCATCAAATTTCTCCCTGTAGACAGACTTGCCACCAGTGCCATTATGGCATGTAAAGTCACCACCCTGACACAAAAGCCCTAGAATAATTCTGTGAAAGCAGGAACCCTTATAACCAAATCCTTTCTCTCCAGTGCTCAGAGCACGAAAGTTTTCTGTCTTTGGAAACTTGTCTGCAAACAGTTCGAAGGAGACGTGCCCCAAGGCCTCGCTGTTGATGGCGATGTTGAAGAACATGGTGGGGTTGACCATGGCTGGTAGTACAGGGCTCCTGGTGGCGGTGGCGTCTGCAAAGCCTTTTTTGTTGTGTTTTTTTAAGAGATTGGGTCTCACTCTGTCATCCAGGCTGAAGTGCAGTGATGCAATCATAGCTCACTGCAGCCTTGAACTTCCGGGCTCAAGTGATCCTCCCGCCTCAGCCTCCTGAGTAGCTAGGAGTACAGGTGTATGCCACTATGCCGGGCTAGTTTTTTTTTTTTTTTTTTTTTTTTTTTTGTAGAGGCAGGATCTTGCTATATTACCCAGACTGATCTCGAACTCCTGGGCTCAAGTGATCCTCCCACCTTGGCCTCCCAAAGTGGTGGGATTATAGACATGAGCCACTGCACCTGGCCCCAAGGATTCCTTCTTACAACCACAGTATGTGATCTTCTTTTCTTATTGAGAACTTTCACCTTTTCACTTAAGAAAGCACTTTATGGCTTCTCTATGGTGTATCCAAATTGCCAGTGCCACTCCTCTTGTGCTTTAGGGCCATGGAAGTAAAGTAAGGGTCACTTGACCACAAGCACTGTGATTCCAAGACAGTGAATTTGATCACAGAGATGGCTACTAAGTGACCTGCAGGCGGGGACGCTGGCAAAGAGAAAAGTCGCATCCAGGGCGGGACAGGGTGGGATGGCCCCAGATTTCATCATGCTACTTGGAAGGGCATGAAATTTAGAACTTAGGAATTGTTTCTGGAATTTTCCATTGAATATTTTTGAACCAACGTTGACCAAGGGTAACTGAAACTGCAGAAAGCAAAATCACAGATAAGGCGGTGATGTGGTTTGGGTGTGTCCCCATCCAAATCTCATATTGAACTGTAGTTCCCATAATCCCCATGTGTTATGGGAGGGACCTGGAGGGAAGTAACTGAATCATGGGGGCGGTTACCCTCATGCTGTACTCATGACAGGGAATGAGTTCTCATGAAATCTGACGATTTTATAAAGGGCTTTCACCCCCCTCACTCTCATTCTTCTCTCTCCTGCCACCCTGTGAAGAAGGATGTGTTTGCTTCCCCTTCTGCCATGAGTGTAAGTTTCCTAAGGCTTCTCCAACTATGCAGAACTGTGAGTCAATTAAACCTCTTCCTTTAAAAATTACCCGGTCTAACGTACATCCTTATAGCAGCATGAGAACGGACTAATACGGGGCGGAGGCTACCATATTTGCATTTTTGTAAATATTTATAAATAGGAAAATGTATATATGAATATACCAAGGCATGGCGTTTTTGCTTAGTGATTCATTCGAATGTTCTACATTAAAAATGTGGTTTCAGGCCAGGCGCGGTGGCTCACGCCTGTAATCTAAGCACTTTGGGAGGTCGAGGCGGGAGGATCACAAGGTCAGGAGTTTGAGACCAGCCTGACCAACATGGTGAAACCCCATTCTACTAAAAATACAAAAATTAGCCATACGTGGTGGCACATGCCTGTAATCCCAGCTACTCAGGAGGCTGAGGCAGGAGAATTGCGTGAACCCGGGAGGCGGAGGTTGCAGTGAGCCGAGATTGCGCCACTGCACTCCAGCCTGAGCGACAGAGCTAGACTCTGTCTCAACAAAAAAAAAAAAGGTTTCGCAAAAAGAACTTTTTAAAAACTTCATTTGGAAACCAAAATAAGCACTCTGCTTTCACTGGTTCTTTCTTCAGTTTTCTTAAAATGTTAATAAATACCCCTAAAGTAGTGAAGAACAACTATCCCCCTGCCCTCCCAAAAAAAGAAACACTAAAGGAAAAAACTATGGGAATTTCTTATGTTAACTGAATCCCCAACCTTCTCTGGGAAGGTACTATATGAGCTGGAACACTGAGAGAACACAGCTACGGAAATAAAGAAGTCCCTATTTCCCCGGGGCACTGTGAGTTTAAGCCAGGAACAGAAGCGCACTAAACAAAACAGAAACTGTAAAGGTGACATCCAAATTCAGTCCTCGACTCCAACCAGGTTTTCTCCTAAGGCTGGGAAAGCATGACAGGCCACTAACTTACTCAAAGCATCCACAAAGAGCCACCATCCAGGGCAGACTGGGCATAGGCTGCAGCAATGGGGTACAAGAGGGCTGAAGTGGGTACCTCCCGGCAGCGCTTTCACCCAGGAGATGAAAAACCAGATTCCGTGGGCCATGTCACTTCTCACAGGAACCTGGCTTCGTGGAACTCTGAATGATGGTGATGCTGGGGGCAGGGGGCAGAGGCTCCAGAGAAAGGGGTGCTGATATGTACAAGGCTACAGGTAAGGCAGTCAGAAAAGAGATGATTAAGCCATGAAAGAAGCAAAAAAGAAAAAAACTTGTTACTAAGTACACTGATGCTATAAAATAAAAGGAGTCCTTTAAGGAACTAGAGACAAAAGAGTTCCTAATTATTGATTTGCAATATTCTTTAAGCAAAGAAATGTATGATTTTAAAAAAATTAATTCATTGACCCATTACACTGGTGAATTTTGGCTCCAAAGGTGTTCAGGTTGGTAATCAATCTATGACTTATAAAGAAAAAGACCTTGAGACATTATCAAATTACTCTTATTGAGAGTCCAAGAGACTGTAGTTTAGTGAAAAGCAACAGATTTACAGTCAGATAGACTTAAAAGCTAAGTTTGAATTTGAGTTATGGCCTGGATAACTTATTAAAACTGATAAGCCACAATCTCTTCATTTGTTATTGTAATGAGTCAACCAGGGAAAATATATAAGGCTGGGCACGGTGGCTCACGCTTGTAGACCCAGCACTTTGGGAGGCCAAAGGAGGGCGGATCACTTGAGGTCAGGAGTTCAAGACCATCCTGGCCAACATGGCAAAAATCCATTTCTACTAAAAATACAAAAATTAGCCGGGCATGGTGGCAGGCGCCTGTAATCCCAGCTACTTGGGAGGCTGAGGCAGGAGAATCTCCTGAACCCAGGAGGTGGAGGTTGCAGTGAGCCAAGATCACGCCACTGCACTCCAGCCTGGGTAACAGAGAGATACTCTGTCTCAAAAAAAAAAAAAAGAAAAATACATAAGCATATGCCAAGAGGTCAAAAAATTAGTTACCATTTAAAAATGTTGGGCCCTATATAGCAGACCAAAACTAAAAACTCTACAGCCAAAGTCCTCTCAATGAGAAGTAGAAAAAGAAAAGCCTTCACATATTCTTAATGCATATAAAATAAAGACAATTTGAAATAAATTTGTCAATGGGAATTAAGAGCTATTGGAATCCATTCTGCAAATCTTTAGTAAGTTACAAACACATGCAAGGTACCAGGTATTGCAAGGATTGGAGACTGAAAGTGCTGTCTCCATGCACACAATCTACCTGTGAGTAGACAGGCAGACACGCTGTGTTCTGCAAACATGTTTTGAGGTGTGTCTTAGTTCAGCCTGCTATTACAGAATACGATAGACTGATTACTTAAAGAAAAGACATTTATTTCTTACAGTTCTGGAGGCTGGAAGTCCACCAAGATCAGGGTGCCAGCAGGGTCAGGTTTTTGGTGAGGGCCTTATTCTTGGCAGAGCAACAAAGCACTGGACTCTATCTCTTTATAAGCATACACTGATCCGATTCATGGGGACTCCACCCTTGTAAGCTATTTACCCCCCAAAGGTGCCACCTCCAGACACCATCACGTTGGGGATTTAGGCTTCAACATATGAATTGGCAGGGAGATACAATTCAGTCCCAGCAAGGTGCCAGCATTGTTCACTATGTCCTTCCCTGAAAACTCCCTTTGCCCACAGGTCTCACCAAAGGTGTGGCCCTCAGTGGCCATGTTGTACCACACAATTCTCTTCTACCCCTCCCTTTCCCTTCTCCATCACAGTGGACTGGATCATGCCTGGATAATCCCTTTCTTGGCCAGAAACCAGTGAGATCCTTTCTGGAGAATCTGAACTAAGGAACAGATGCTTGGGGCAGTCTAGTTGACAGAGACTGAGACAGAAAGGGAGAGAGGTTAGAAAGACAGATGGACCTTGGGTACTTGACTTTCTATAATGTTTAATTCTAATAAAGTCCAGCCATACTTTATTTTCAGATAACCTATTGTATATTTAAATAAAACCTCCTTAAAATATTTATTTATTTATTTATTTATTTATTTATTGAGACAGAGTCTCACTGTCGCCCAGGCTCACTGGAGTACAGTGGCACAATCTCGGCTCACTGCAGTATGTGCTTATAAAGTGATCTCCATCTCTCGGGTTCAAGCAATTCTGCCTCAGCCTCCCGATTAGCTGGGATTACAGGTGCCCGCCATCGTGCCAGACTGATTTTTGTATTTTCAGTAGAGATGGGGTTTCACCATGTAGCCCAGGCTGCTCTCGAACTACTGACCTCAGGTGATCCACCCGCCTCGGCCTCCCAAAGTGCTGGGATTACAGGCGTGAGCCACTGCGCCCAGCAAAATAAAACCTTTTACTCTAGCTGGTTGGTAGATGCTACACACACATTAAGCAACAGACGCAAAGACCCACATCTCCCATTTGTGATTGTGGACAAGGAACTCACCTCTAGGAGCCACAGCTTGGGGCAGGAGAATGAGGGTCTTCCCGAGCAGAGGGCTGGGGAGATGAGGTGAGAGCAACTGGGAAAGATGTCACGGGAAAGATACACTCACTAAGAGCTACAGGGCTTCCGGCAGGGGTCAGCGCCTTTGGTCATAGTGGCTGCGGAAGGCTTCATGAAAGAAAGGACATTTGGGCTGACCTTGAACTTAGAGAAGAGGAGAAGAAAGATCAGGAGACACTCTCAGAAGCAGAGGAAGCCATGACCCACAGAAAGGCGTGAGCAGTAACAAATTCCTCTTGGTGAACAATGATGTCTGACACTGAATTCAAAGTTGTTTTCTGCGCTACTCTGTAATCAGACCTCCCTCCCTCCCCATTAGCCACAAACGCTTCAGCAAATGCTGTGCACAATAGCTGGATTTTAGTGATTCCTGGGAGGAGGGTGGTGAGAGACACAGAACTGAAGATAACCGTGTTCCACCCAAGGTCAAATGTTGAAGAAAAAGAGCACCCTAAGGACACACAGGCACAAGGAGCCCGGTGATGGGGCAAGTTGGCTGCAGTGTGGGTGTGCCTGAGGACCATGAAAACTTAAGACCCCAAGAAACCCCCATGAACATGTATCAGCTCAGGCCATTTTGTTTAGATAGTAAAGGAAAGGTGCCAGGTGCAGTGGCTCACACCTGTAATCCCAGCACTTTGGGAGGCTGAGGTGGGGAGATTCCTTGAGGTCAGGAGTTCGAGACCAGCCGGCCAACGTGGTGAAACCCCGTCTCTACTAAAAATACAAAAATTAGCTAGGCATGGTAGTGTGCGTCTATAATCCTGCCTACTTGGGAGGCTGAGGCAGGAGAATCGCTTGAACCTGGGAGGTGGACGTTGCAGTGAGCAAAGATGACGACACTGCACTCCAGCCTGGGCAACAGAGTAAGACTCCATTGCAAAAAATAAAAAATAAAGGACAGGCGATCCCAGCATGTGAAAGGACATGGAAACCCTTTGGTAATAGAACAACAGGGAAAAAATGCCAGAAGCTTCTAGACTGAAAACAAGTTAAAACAGACAAAAAGAATAAGATTACCTATAAAAGACAGAGAAGCAGAGAAAACAGCATCTGGCCAGGCACAGTGGCTCACACCTGTAGTCCCAGCACTTTGGGGAACCGAGTCAGGTGGATCACCTGAGGTCAAGGTCAGGAGTTCGAGACCAGCCTGGCCTGGGTGACAGAGCGAGACTCTGCCTCAAAAATCAAAAAAAAAAAAAAAAAAAAAAAAAAAAACACAAAGAAAACAACATCTGTACCAGTAAATACTGGAAGATATTAAAACGTTTATGGAGTTTCAAGGAAAACGATTGTTATCATAGAGTCACATGCACACCCAGGCTATGTATTATGTGGGAGGGGAAAAGAATGGCATTTTCAGACATGCAAGAACTCAAAATACATCATCCACGCACTCTAAGAAAAAAAATCATGTGAGAATGCTGTTAAAGAAGAAAAAGACAGGATGTGTTTTATTTTTTACTTTTATTTTTTTGAGACAGAGTCTTGCTCTGTCGCCCAGGCTGGAGTGCAATGGTGCAATCTCGACTCACTGCAACCTCCACCTCCTGGGTTCAAGTGATTCTCCTGCCTGCCTCAGCCTCCCGAGTAGCTGAGATTACATACGCCCGCCACCACACC